>NC_000010.11:15767575-15919090 GCF_000001405.40 Homo sapiens
CATGGGCCCCGCATCATCCTGCTCCACTGTGATCAAACCCCTCTGCAGCCAAACCAAAGTCTCAAGGTTTGGCTCGCTATTAGGAGAGAGACAGCACCCTTTCACCTAAAGCAGTCTTTCCTATCTCATTGCCAGAGGTTTTGACCCAATCTTGCGACCAACCCTGAGAATCTCATCAATGAAGATTCATTTCAGTCACCCAATATTGTCATTTTTGGATGTATGGGAGCTGGAGTCAGTTGCATCATAGTATGTTACTTTCATTCCATGACTTCTCCTATCTAGGGTTATTCCAGCTGTGACATTTACCCAGGACAGAAAAACTCATATCCCCAGAGTTCGATAGAAAAATCAGTTCCTGAAAATTTCCTTCTCCAGTGAATGAAGATTGTAATGGATAACAAATGGGTGTTAATATTACATAACCATTCAACACAACACTATTGAGTCCCAATTTTGTTTCATAAAGTGTTACTAGAACTACAGATGTAAAACGATCTGGTTGCTGCATCTGAAAGCCTCCAAACTTATTGCAGTGCTTGTTGACATTGTGAGACCACAGACCCATTTTTTAGAAATATGCTGGAAACTGTTGCCCTCTTTGCCCCATTCCCTAAAATGTTGGATTGTTGGAGAGCTTGAATATTTTGTTTTGGAACCGGTCCAAGGCTGCGTGGCTAGGACCTCTGTCTGTCAGGGATCCACTCTGACCTCAGAGTCGTCCACTATGCTAACTTCTTAGCCCTAGGCTCTTGCAAAGAAATGTTGTATATTTCAATTAGGATTTCAGGACTCTGCCAGCTAGGAAAAGATATTATCAACTTTCTTGAAATTGTAAAAATAAGTGGATTAAAAAGGCGTGACAGTAAGTAAATAAGACTATATAGGAAATGCAGTAAATAAAAATAAACACTATTACGTTGTTTTGTTTTTTCCAGAGCAGTGCGATTTTTAATGGGACATATTTCTCTTATTAAATGTTACCATGAGTATAGATGTATTTATAGACAAAATGTTTTAATTCCACAAGGCAGCTGGAAATCGCTCACATTTGCTTTTTGATTCAAAATATTGGTTTATAATTAGTCAGTTGATTTAATATGTAACATTAGTGTGAACAAGAAATGCAATTGACAGGGAGGAAAGAATTACTGTGTATATAAGTATATAACCAATGTGTTGATAGAATGAGTTGGTGTTCTTCAGTATAGATGTTGAGTATTAACTCTGGTTCACAACATAGTGAAAAAATATTTGTACTTTTGGTTTTATAATGAGATCAAAATTCCTTCATAGCAGATCTTTTTCATGCTTAGGAAATTAAGTTATATAACCAGACATAAGTACTATGTTACATGTCAGTCAGCCATGTATGCATTTTTCTTCTGTTAAATTGATTCTGATTTTCCATAGATTGAGCTGGTGTAAATTTTGTGTGCAGTTGGAAGTGTCTCCTAGGTACACGTGGTAACATCATGTCTTCCCCTTTCCATCTGCTTCATGGGGAAGATGCCGGCAGAGAGAACAAACGTTTGTTGACCAGCTAATATGAGCTAGAATGATTTATGCTTAATATCTTATTTAGTATGTACAGCCATGTTCAATTCTTGTGAATGAATGAAGATAAATATTATTTTCAACTCCATTCTATTTATGGAAGTGTTCAGTGAATCGCCCAAATTCATACTAGGAAGGAAGTGGTGAGATGTGAGTCTCACCTCTGGTCTGGTCTTCATCGCTTCGTGTCTTGCAAAGTTGCCTGATAGTTGAAGGTATAGGTGATGTTGACTGTCCTCATGGCTTGGCACCACACTATGGTTCACAGGAACTCAGGGGGCAGAGTACAGGGGCTGTCCAGGTGGCCTCGCGTCTTAGCACTGCCATGTTCTGATTGTGTGGTTATGGACATTAGTTCATTTTCTGCACTTCAGGTGCCCCACTTACAAAACAGGGACACTCTTGCTATAGGTTTGTGGAAAGGCCACGGAGCAAACCTAGTCACTGACTCAAAGGCACTGTAAGAAATGGTATCTATACTCATAACTTAAAGACTGAGAAAGTAATACTTGACAAACTGGGGGAGCTCATGCAGATGTTTATTACAATGTGACTTTTTTTTATTGCCTTTTTTGTTTTTATGTTTCGTGTTTTTCTGTTTCTTTGACTGTCTCATCCTCATCGATTTATGCTTCCTGCCCATCAGGCATCTCTTTATCACAGTCTGCTCTCAGTGATTGTGTAAGGGGACACTTTTAAGAGTTGTCTTCCTGAAACCACCTCTTGACCCCACAATTCTTTTAAATGTGCATATAATTTTTTTTTTTGAGACAGGGTCGTGCTCTGTTGCCCAGGCTGGAGTGCAGTGGTGTAATTGTGGCTCACTGCAGCCATGATTACCCTAAATCCATGCCCTCACTTTTCCTTGCTAAATGGCCACTGAGGTCCCCACTTCACTTGTTCACTAATCAGAAACAGGCACCTCAGTGGCAGTTCAGTGGAAACCCTGATAAAGAATAAATTCAGTGAATGATGTGCAACTTTCTACACTGAAAACTAGAAAGCATTGCTAAGGGACAAAGCAGTAAATAAATGGAGTAATATACCACACTCAGAGATTGGAAGACTCAATATCACAGAGTCAGTTCTGTCCAAATTGAGATTTAAATTCAATGAAATCCTAATTAGAATCTCATTAGAGTTTTTTTTTTTTTTGGTAGATTTGATGATATGATTCTTCAATTTATATAGACAGTGAAAGGGACTGAAAGTAGCCAAGATAATCTTGAAGTAGAAAAACAAATTTGGAGGAATTAATGTGTCAGATTTCAAGATTTTGTATAGCTGCAGTAATTAAATGTGGGGTGTGTACAAGGAGAGATAAACCAGTGGAACAAAATGGTTCAGGAACAGACTCGCAAACACACCTGAGTTTTAACAAGGGCTCCAGTATAATGAAATAGAAGGCTAGTCTTGTTGATAAATATTGTTGATCAGTATTTATTTGAAAATAATGAGCCTTAGACTTGGCTTATTTCATACACAGAAATTTAATTTAAAATGAATAAGAGAGCTAATGTGAAAAGTAAAAGCATAAGCTTCTAAAAATTAGGATAATTTGTGACTTTGCAGTAGTCAAAGATTTCTTTAAAAAGATACATAAAAATACTATTCATAAAAAGATACATAAAAATACTATTCATATGATAAATAGGACATTATTGAGAATTTGTTCATTAAAATATGACATTAAGAGAGTAAAAAGGCAATACAGAGACCAGAAAAATATATCTCCATTATATATATATGAAACAAAGGGCTTATATTCAGAATATATAAAGAACTCCTACTAATCAAAAAGAAAAAGGCCACCAAATGTAAAAATGGGCAAAAGACTCGAATTAGTATTTCACAAAAAAAAGAGATCCATAATGATCTGTAAGCATTGAAATGGCACTTAATTATCCAGCAAGGAAATGCAAATTAAAACTACAATGAGATTTTTTTTTTTTTTTTTTTTGAGAGAGTCTCACTCTGTTGCCCAGGCTGGAGGCTCACTGCAAGCTCCGCCTCCCGAGTTCATGCCATTCTCCTGCCTCAGCCTCCCAAGTAGTTGGGACTACAGGCAACAGGGTTTCATCATGTTAGCCAGGATGGTCTGGATCTCCTGACCTCGTGATCGGCCCACCTTGGCTTCCCACAGTGCTGGGATTACAGGCGTGAGCCACCACGCCTGGCCACTACAATGAGATATTACCACACCTTCAGCCAAATCGGCTAAAATTAAAAGGAGTAACAGTACAAAGTGTTGCTGACAATGTGGAAAAACAGGAACTCTCATATTGCTGATGGGAGCATAACTTGATGCAATCTTTTTCGCAAATTTATTTAGCCATATCAGCTGAAGTTGAATACATCTATAGCTCCCTTAGGACTCAACAATTTCACCCCTGAGTTTGTAATCAACAGAAATGAATGCTACATTCACCAAAAGTCATATATTACAAATGTTCAGGGCTATTTTCTTTATAATAATCCCAAACTGGAAATGATAAATATCCATCAACATATCCCAAATAGTACTACAAATTCATACAATGAATAACTACATATTAATAAGAAATAATGCATCTGATGCATGCAAAAGGTTGGAGAATTTCACAGATACAATTTTAAGCCAAAAAGAAAAAAGAAAAAAACCTCATACAAAAGACTATGTGTGTTATTCTAATTATATGGAAGTCAGGAACCGGCAACATTGACCTATGACGATGGCAATCAGAATAATGTTACTTTTTCAGGTGGTATTGACTAGGAGAGGGAAGGAAATATTCCCTATATATCGACAGTGGTTATGTAATATGTAATTGTCCATTGTATGAATTCATATTCCTAGGTATGGGGGTTTTTTGATGCTACTAAAAATGGTTAAATTTTTTTTCTCATTGCGTGTTTCATGTCTATAAAAATAGTTTTTGTATATTGACTTTATATCCAGCAACTGGCTGAATCTACTTATGAATTCAAAGCATTCGTGTATGTATATCTATGAATCATGTTTTCTATGAATGATGACACATTAACATCTTTCCAATCGTTTGATATTTTATTTCTTTTAATTGCCTTATTGCACTGGCCAGAACTTCCACAGGACAATGCTGTACAGAAGAGGTGAATGGACATAGTTGTCATAATCCTGAACCTGGGGGAGAAAGCACTTAATATTTCACCATTAAGAATGTGTTTTTTTCTAAACACTCCTTATCATATTAAAAAAGCTCCCTTCTAGTCTAAGTTTACTGAGATTTTAAAAAATCATAAGTTTTATTTATTTTTATTTTTAATTTTATTATTATACTCTGTTTTAGGGTACATGTGCACAATGTGCAGGTTAGTTACATATGTATACATGTGCCATGCTGGTGTGCTGCACCCATTAACTCGTCATTTAGCATTAGGTATATCTCCTCATGCTATCCCTTCCCCCTCCCCCCACCCCACAACAGTCCCCAGAGTGTGATGTTCCCCTTCCTGTATCCCTGTGTTCTCATTGTTCAATTCCCACCTATGAGTGAGAATATGCAGTGTTTGGTTTTTTGTTCTTGTGATAGTTTACTGAGAATGATGATTTCCAATTTCATCCATGTCCCTACAAAGGACATGAACTCATCATTTTTTATGGCTGCATAGTATTCCATGGTGTATATGTGCCACATTTTCTTAATCCAGTCTATCATTGTTGGACATTTGGGTTGGTTCTAAGTCTTTGCTATTGTGAATAGTGCCACAATAAACACACGTGTGCATGTGTCTTTATAGCAGCATGATTTATGGTCCTTTGGGTATTTTAGATCAACATCCTTGATGAACATTGATGCAAAAATCCTCAATAAAATACTGGCAAAACGAATCCAGCAGCACATCAAAAAGCTTATCCACCATGATCAAGTGGGCTTCATCCCTGGGATGCAAGGCTGGTTCAATATACGCAAATCAATAAATGTAATCCAGCATATAAACAGAACCAAAGACAAAAACCCACATGATTATCTCAATAGATGCAGAAAAGGCCTTTGACAAAATTCAACAACCCTTCATGCTAAAAACTCTCAATAAATTAGGTATTGATGGGACGTATCTCAAAATAATCAGAGCTATCTATGACAAACCCACAGCCAATATCATACTGAATGGGCAAAAACGGGAAGCATTCCCTTTGAAAACTGGCACAAGACAGGGATGCCCTCTCTCACCACTCCTATTCAACATAGTATTGGAAGTTCTGGCCAGGGCAATTAGGCAGGAGAAGGAAATAAAGGGTATTCAATTAGGAAAAGAGGAAGTCAAATTGTCCCTGTTTGCAGATGACATGATTGTATAGCTAGAAAACCCCATTGTCTCAGCCCCAAATCTCCTTAAGCTGATAAGCAACTTCAGCAAAGTCTCAGGATACAAAATCAGTGTACAAAAATCACAAGCATTATACACCAATAACAGACAAACAGAGAGCCAAATCATGAGTGAACTCCCATTCACAATTGCTTCAAAGAGAATAAAATACCTAGGAATCCAACTTACAAGGGATGTGAAGGACCTCTTCAAGGAGAACTACAAACCACTGCTCAATGAAATAAAAGAGGATACAAACAAATGGAAGAACATTCCATGCTCATGGGTAGGAAGAATCAATATGGTGAAAATGGCCATACTGCCCAAGGTAATTAATAGATTCAATGCCATCCCTATCAAGCTACAAATGATTTTCTTCACAGAATTGGAAAAAACTGCTTTAAAGTTCATATGGAACCAAAAAAGAGCCCGCATCGCCAAGTCAATCCTAAGCCAAAAGAATAAAGCTGGAGGCATCACGCTACCTGACTTCAAACTATACTACAAGGCTACAGTAACCAAAACAGCATGGTACTGGTACCAAAACAGAGATATAGATCAATGGAACAGAACAGAGCCCTCAGAAATAACGCCGCATATCTACAACTATCTGATCTTTGACAAACCTGAGAAAAATAAGCAATGGGGAAAGGATTCCCTATTTAATAAATGGTGCTGGGAAAAGTGGCTAGCCATATGTAGAAAGCTGAAACTGGATCCCTTCCTTACACCTTATACAAAAATTAATTTAAGATGGATTAAAGACTTAAACATTAGACCTAAAACCGTAAAAACCCTAGAAGAAAACCTAGGCATTACCATTCAGGACATAGGCATGGGCAAGGACTTCATGTCTAAAACACCAAAAGCAATGGCAACAAAAGCCAAAATGGACAAATGGGATCTAATTAAACTAAAGAGCTTCTGCACAGCAAAAGAAACTACCATCAGAGTGAACAGGCAACCTACAAAATGGGAGAAAATTTTTGCAACCTACTCATCTGATAAAGGGCTAATATCCAGAATCTACAATGAACTCAAACAAATTTATAAGAAAAAAACAACCCCATCAAAAAGTGGGTGAAGGACATGAGCCGACACTTCTCAAAAGAAGACATTTATGCAGCCAAAAAAACACATGAAAAAATGCTCTCCATCACTGGCCATCAGAGAAATGCAAATCAAAACCACAATGAGATACCATCTCACACGAGTTAGAATGGCAATCATTAAAAAGTCAGGAAACAACAGGTGCTGGAGAGGATGTGGAGAAATAGGAATACTTTTACACTGTTGGTGGGACTGTAAAGTAGTTCAACCATTGAAGTCAGTGTGGCGATTCCTCAGGGATCTAGAACTAGAAATACCATTTGACCCAGCCATCCCATTACTGGGTAAAAATCGTAAGTTTTAAATTATATATCAAATGCTTTTTCTGCCATGTTGAATCATGACTTTTCTCCTTCTGTTAATGTGAAAAATGCTTATTCTTAATATTAAACCAACTTATCGCTCTGCCAAAATCCCCACTTAGTCATGATGTGTTATATACACACACATACATGTATACATACTTTATTGATGTTTCTTATTTGTATAGGATTTTTGTTCCCATTATCATGGGAAATACTTGTCTATAATTTTTCTTTCTTTTAATGTCTTTAAAGTATGATATCAGGGTCACTGGATTCATAACAGGAATTCTGAAGTTATTCCTTCTATTTCCTGGAAGCATTTAAAATTGCTATTATTTTTTCTTTAAGTGTTTGAAAGCATTTGCTAGTGAAGCCATCCAGGCCAGGGAGTTTTCTTTAAGGAAAGTTTTTGAATTATTGATTAAATTTCTTTAAGACATACAGAATTTCTTGTGTCAGTTCTGCTTCTGCTGTTGTGTTTTTCAAATTGTCTGTTTGATCTAAATTTTTAAGTTTAATTTAGCATAAAATAGCTCACAATCTCCTCCAATTATTTTAATATCCAGATAATGTTTCCCGTTTTGTTCCTGATGCTAATGCTCTCATTTTTTCTTGATCAATCTTGTTAGATTTATCAATTTTATTGATTTTTTCCAGAGGCTTAAATTTTGGATTTGCTGAGTTTTTTCCATTATATATCTATTTTCTATTTCATTGGTTTCCCCGTTTATCTTTTATTCTCACAATTAAGTGGTTTTTTAATATATTCAGAGTTGTACAACCCTCACTGTAATCTAATTTTAGAACATTGCATCACCCCAAAAAGAAATTCCATTCACATTAGCAGTCACTCCTCAATCCTGTTAACCTACTCTGTCCCCCCTCCAGCTCCTGGTGCCTGAAATCCACTATGTTTGCCTATTCTGGACAGTCACATGAATGGAATCAGGCATACAGCCTTTGTGACTGGCTTCTTCCATGTAGCATAATGTTTTCAAGGGTCTTCTACATTGTAGTCTGTGTCAGTAATTCATCCTTTTAAAATGCCAAATAAGGTTCCATTGTATATATATATGGATGTTCTTTGACTTACTATGGGGTCATGTCCTGATAAATCCATCATTAGTCAAAAACATCGTAAGTCAAAAATGCATTTAATACCCTGATAAACCCATTGTAAGAGTTGAAAAATTGCTAAGTTGAATAATTGTTAAGTCGGAGACCATCTATACTATATTTGTTTATCCCTCTATTAGCTGATCAACAGGTTGTTTCCACTTTGTGGTTATTATGAAATAATACAGGTATGAACATTCACAAAAAGTTTCATGTGAATATGTTTTCATCATTTCTTTTGGTGATATACCTGGGAGTTGGGATTAGTGAGGCATGTGCCATCTCTGTATTTTTTTGAGCAGCTACAATACTCTTATCTGACGTGTCTTCACCATTTTACATCCTCACCAGCAATGTATGAGGGTTCCAATTTCTCCCCATCTTCACCAACACTTGCTTTTGCAGATCTTTTTTATTTTAGCCATCCTAATGACTATGATGTGATATCTTATGGTTTTCACTGGTATTTTTCTAAGGATCAATTGGTGTTTCTCTAAGGACCAATCTTCTTTGGGGGAAATGTCTCTTCAAATCATTTGTCCATTTAAAAGTTTTTGTTGTTGTTGTTATCAGTTTTTTATATATACTGTATTCAAATCCCTTAATATAATTTGCAAATATTTTCCCCACTCTATGGGTTGTCATGTCACTTTGAGGGTGTCCTTTGACACACACAAGTTTTTAATTTTAAGTCCAATTTATCTTTGTTGTCATTTGTGTTTTGTATCTTATCTAAGAAACCATTGCCTAACCCAAGATCATGATCAACTCCTTTGTTTTCTTCTAGGGATTTTATAGTTTCAGCTTTTATAATTAGATATATAATCAATCATTTTAAGTTACTTTTTGCAAATGGTGTGAGGTAGGGATCCAAATTCATTCTTTTGTATATGGATATTCTTTTAGGATTTACTTCCTCTTATTTTGGGTTTGTTATTGAGATAAAAGCTTAGGTTCCCAATTTTCAAATGTTTTACTTTTCTAATATATCATATTTAATGCTATATATTTCCTTTATTTTTGCTATGTCATATTTTCATTAACACTCAGTAGAAAGTATGTTCTAATTCCCATTGCAATTTCTCTTTGACCCTTTGGTAATTCATTAGTGTGTCACTTAATTTCCAATCTTTTGAGATTTTCTAGACTTACTTTATTGCCAGCATATAATCTAGTTTGGTAAGCAGCCCAAGTGCATGTGGAAAGGAAATGTTCCCATGGCTATTTAAATGTAGTGTTCTACAGCAATGATATCAAGCTAAGGTCCAGTCATGCTTGCCACGTGAGTAGAGACAGCTTCAGAAAATTCTAGCCCCTGGCTGCTGACTGAAGCAGACAAGCCATGCATCCCCACCTTGCCCCGTTTAGATTCCTGAGCAAAGAATTTGTACATTTAATCAAATGGTTGTTTTATGCCATGAAGTTTTGGGATGATTTGTTGTGTAACAATGGTAAGAGGACCATTCTATTTCATAGGCTTGATGTTTATGAGACAATCTACGATTTTGTGTAATCCTTTTGGAATTTGGGATTATTAAACCAGAGTTTTGAGAAACTAATTCTAGCATTATATATTTTATACAGATTTGGAAGTAGCCTAGACCAAAATATTGACATTTGAAAGCTGTAAGTTTAATAAGTAGTATCATACTCCTGAACAGAATGTCACCAAAAGTTATACACAAAATCTCATGCCTTTCCCTATGCTTAATTATATTGTAATTGTGTGTGTGTACGAAAGAAAACAAAACCCAAACAGAAATTCACACAGGAACTATACTATTGAAGGTAATGTTCAGTTCTGAAATGTGTAAGAGGATACTACATAATTATCTGCTTTACACGTGGCTTTACACGTGGAGGAAAAAAAGTATTAATGGCTATGTGATTTTAAATTGCTGGGCCACAAACCTATCAGAATACAGCAGATCTCTCTCTCAAGTAAACGGGCTTCTGCATCTTTGCTCACTGGTCTAGAAAGCTGCCATGTGGGTTCTCATGCTTCTGGCTGGCTGAGTTAGCAGAGCTCTTAGGTTAGCATAAGGCCTGGTCTCTTATTCGAGGTCCTGTATGACTTAGCCATTTGTAGTACTCTGTGCTCTCAGGGTTATTGGGTAGAAACATTTAGAAGTACGTATTTGTTTATTTTGAGCCACCAATGTAAAAAATGCAAGGGTACAGTTAAAGAAAAAGGTGTTTATTTAGGCCATCAACTAGGATCATAATAAATAACGTAATATACTAATGTAATAACAGATCTTCTCATGCATTTATCGTGTTTATAAATATAGAAGAAAGCTGGCTTACAGGGCTGTTGGGACAAATTTGGAAAAGTGTATTTGGCAATTACACAGTAAAAGTTAACAGTGTTGACTATCAGATTCTCTTTTCTGTCAGTTTTTAGAATACATCCCCTATACATCTGTGAATAAATGGTAATGGTCTCTTAGAGTTTCTACTTTTTGTGAACATGCCAGAGTTAAGTAAATTGTCAAAGGATCCAGGTTGACAATGTGTTATTTGTCAATATTTCTAATGAAAAACAGATCTTAGAAAAATGAACTCTTCTGCATTTCATTGTAGAGGCTGATATATTACAAGCCGGAATCATTCAAACAATAAAAAAAGTGCCTCAATGAAATAAAACCCAAAAGTAGTTTATCAATAGTAACTGTGATACTTAATATACAAATGCTGTAGTATTGCGTTTGTAATTTGGTAAGTAAATGACCAAGTATCTGAATGCAAAAGTGATGAACTTTGATGAAAGCTTAATTTTGCTAGTAAATTTCACACGAAGGGGTAAAATAGGATAATCTTTAACATAAAGCTTTAGGACAAATAATTTAAACATATCATAAACACTGAAAATGTGTTTTTAATTGTTATTTACAGTTAATCAGTGATACCAGTGTTTAGCTTAATCCAGCCAATTGCCAGTCTTGACTCCTTCTTTCAACATCTGTTATTAAGATCTTCCTTATAAATACTTAGACAAATTAATTTAGTGAAGGAGAGCGATCTGTGGTCCAGAGTAACTCAATGTATGGCCATTTGGTTTGCAGACAGCGTTTAATAGGAGTGTCATCTGTCTGTAGCATGGGATCTTCAAAACCCATCACAACTGCAGTCCCTTCTACGTACATGACCTGTTGAACAAAATAAAGCCACCAAGGTCAAGCAACAGTCTTAGCAAATTCTTATGTGGAATGAAAACAATTTTTAGAGGCTAGCAAATAAGGTATTACATAGTTTCAGATGAAACTTGACATGTAATTTTATTTTGCTAGAAATGAGAAGGAATATCTGCTTACTGATTAATGTGAAAGTAAATTTGTAAACGATATTTAATTGCTAGCTGGCCAGGTGATTTTTAAAAAATTCAAGATCATGTGAATCCTAAAACACATAGATTGTTTCTAAGAAAAAAAACATTCTTCAACGGATCTATACCATCGGAAAGAAATGCTTAATTATCATATTTACATATAATTTATACAGGTCCTACTGCTTTAATACTGAGGTTCTCAGATGCTCATGCTGCCTAATGAAACGGAGAGCTATAAAAGGAATATAGCTATTATGTTCTGAGGAACATGTGTCTCCTTCTAATTTAAGTATTGAATTTCTAGAGCTGAAACCAATTTGAATGTTTGTCAACAAAACTTGCTATTATGGTATTAAATATTCCTGAAATGCAATTCATGAGTGCATTCTGTACAGCATGAAAAATCATGGAGAAAAAAATTAAAAAGGATGTCAGGACAGAAAGAAAAGTAAAAGAGACGTTGAAAGATCAAACTAACCAGATACTGTATATGCAGTGGCAGTGATCACAGAAATATATACTGGCAGGTGAATAGCAAGAAAAATTTTATTCTGATTAATTTACAATGAAACATACTTAAAAAGTATTTTGGACATATCAACAAAAACCCTAACTCATTACCAAGGGCTCACTGTGGACATTAAGGCACTCCTTGGTGGTTAATTTCTTTTTTGTACCAAGAGAAATTCTGATGCTGTATAATTTAAAAGAAACAGATACAGACGACTGTCTTCTTCCAAAGTGTATAAAATTATTTTTACACATTCACTGGCTGATACACATGAGTGTAATTATGTTCTTCCAAAATAAAAGCCATAAGCTATTTAAGGAGCCAAAAGAAACAACTTTATTATCCTTAAATGGTAGTTGCCTCTAAAACACATTAAATATAGGAATAGAATATATTACTAGATCAGATAATCTTGTGTCATGAATCTACTCATTCCTAAGAAAGTGCTAAAGATACATTGTAACGTGAAATACATTTTTTGGCATCTTTATTTTAGTTAATATATTAGTTTCTAGTGTTGATGAAATAAATTGACATTGAAACTACAACTCGGGCTTTTCAGTCCCCAAAGCAAAACTGCCTTCTCTGAAAAGTTATACACAAAGAATATAATTCAAGTTATTAAGTTAAATACAATCGGCCCTATTTTTCACAAAGAACTTCATGTACTCATGTCATTAGAGCAGAAGTGCTTGGGCAAGGTGCCATGACCCACCTCCATGGCCTCAATCAGGCTCGGATGCCTGGCGGCTCAGACTCCATCTCACTTTGCCAGCATTCTCCTTTTGTCTGTTTCCTTTCTAACAGGACCTTGCTATGCAGCTTATAATTTTAGCTCCTGATTAACTTCAAAACATATTTCTGTGACTTAATGACATCCATACTTTGCTTTATAGCTGCTGTATATTACTGTCATTTTAACAGTTCATCCTATTTGTTTTCTAATCTTTTTGTTGGTGTGTCAGAAGCTTGTCACAAACATGATTTGAAAACTTATACTACATACAGGTAGAGTGGCCAAGCAGACCAAGGACAGGATTGGGAATCAGGAACTCAGTTCCAATCCCTGTTCTGCCAATGACTTGCTGTGTGACCCTGGGTGAGTCACTTGATCTCCCCGTCTCAGATGCCTCATCTGTAAAATATGGATAATATTTGACCTATCTTGCAGGGATTGTGTAGGTGAATAATTAGTGATTATAAAGTACCTCCTATTACAAAGCTGTGCAAACATCAAACTCTAGATGAAGCACTCATTCGCACATTAGAAAACAACATCCAAGTTTGCATATATATATACATGCAAAGAATATACATTGTCAAGAAAATTTGGATGCTGTATATATATATCTTTGGACCTGACAAAAACATCTAATTTATATTTTGTTATAAAGATAGCAGTAAATTTTAGTCTTTTAGATTTGGTCTAATTAAAATTATGTACTTAATTTACACTGTTTTCTGTAACCTTCCACAATTTAGATACATGAAGTCAGCATGGGCAGATCAAATTAAAAAGGAATGTTAGACCTTATTCCTTTAATATTAGCTATAACTAATACATATATATTATATATATATATATATACTATAACTAGTATGTACTGTAACTCATACTTGAATAAATGCAAAGATAATAGACACACAAAAAGGGGAAATCAATGCAGCCGAACTCTAGCTTTACGCCAGGTTGAGTACACCTGGCAGTGAATCACCTATGTGCTTTGTCAACGGTTAGCAAAGGAAAGCTGCAAAGCATCATGGGTAGGAGCATGGTCTCTGAGCTGGACTAAGTTTCACTCCCAGCTCTGTCATTTCCTGGCTGCTTGACCTGTAAAATGGAGATATACAGACAACACTTCCTTCATAAGGTGCTGTGAAACTTAAGCAAAGTACTTAATACAATTTCGGGTAAATGCTCAATATATGCTGACTATGAAGGTTATTTATTTAAAAATATTTTTTCCAGTAAAAAGTCTCACTGTTACCTCTTTCTTCCTTTAAATGGATAAGTAACAACTTTCACTGGACTAACTACGATGTTGATTTAGAAACACGCTACACTGCCAAGGGTAACGATCTGTATGGGGGTGTATTTAGTCATGGTGAAACTACTGCTCTGAAGTCCAATGTCAGTTTCCAATGCAGACTAACATATACTGGTCAAATCCAAAGATGGCTGATTCTAAAATGTGTCCTCATAGTAAAGAGACTCCTGGAATAATCTTAGGTAGCAATTGTACGGGAATCGAACATTGTTACATACTCACATAATTATTTCATCAACCCAGTTGAACACCGACGACTACGTGAATTATCATACCTTTTCATTATAATTTGACTGCTTCAATCCATTGTAGTGGTAGACAGTAAAAGATTCTGGACCACTGGAGCCCTATTATAAATAAAGGACTATTAACACTTTAAATTATATTTATATCAGGCAATTTCTAATCAACTGAAAGTAAAATGCATGTTTCTCAAATCCTTATCCTTTGACTGGGGACTCATTTGACAAAAGAAGGAACTTAGGTTTATGGAGTTGTAACTACCAGAAAGCCCTGAAGTTGAAAGTGTTGCCTCTGAAGAAGATGCTGGAAAGTAGGGAAGGTTGATTTCCATTATAAGCTCTTCAGAACTAACTTATTTTTTTTTTAATTATGTGCATGTATCACTATAACTTTTTTCAAAAGACAAGCTTCTAAAACATTTGCTAAAGTATATCTCCTTTTCTATGTAAATAATTTGTTCCTCTCAATGAATTGAGAAAAGCAGTAGCATCACTTTTACTCAGACTAAATACACTTCCAGTATGTACCAATACTTCCAATTTGGCCCACGATGTTTAATTAGTGGTTTCTTTTCCAAAAAATATCCAATATTTGAATATTGTCAACCATTAATTAGTGAAAAGAGCACTGTGAGAAATGAAAACATACTTATAATGCTTAAGGCGATTTCAGTAATATTCAATAAAGAAAGGATATCCTATATATCACTAACAGAGTAAGCTTGTAGAAAAATGGGTCATGTTATTCCCACTATCTTAACCTTGCTTTTCAATTAGCTAAAGATCACGTTCAACCCTCTTAACCTGGCGTTCAAGGCCATTACAGGCCTGGCTCCCAGTGATTTCCCTCAGGGCCCCTGGCTGAGTCTGCCTGGATAGATCCCCCTTGTCTTCCTGGCCATATCCGATGGATACAAACAGGCACATGGCCCTCCTTAGAATTTTTTCCAACTGGAATTAAGGGAAGACAGCTGCTGGCAACTGGAGCTTCAGCTCCTACAGAAAGATAGGCTGTGAGAATGTAGCCACTTTAGAGACAGGGGATGGGAGGTGGAGACCTCCCAGTGCTGTTCAAGGACTCCAGGAGCACTTTCCCGGTGCTTGCTTCTTCAATTCACCTGAGCTACTCCTTCCCCTTCATGTATTTTCCCCCTCACTTATGCCAATTTAGGCTGAGGTTCTGTGACCTGCAATCATGAGTCTTAAAATCATACAGGGCTTAATCTACCTTTTTAGTCTTATCTCCAACTACTCACCTTTCTGAATTCTGTTTTGGACAAGCATGACTCATTTCATCATGAAAAGATCTTTTGTTGGCCTTTTGCACATTCATGATTTTTTTTTACTCTTCTCTAAAATGCCCTCCTCTCCTTCCTTTTTCCAGACCTGGTTTAAATCTTACTTTTTCTGTAAAGTTTTTCCTGGACACACTAGTTAGTTTTTTACTACACTGGAACTTAACCTTTATCATAACAATTGTCTAAATAATTTGAGAAGGAATCATATAGTACTACTTTGTATCATCTCTTCTATTATTTTGAAAGACTGTTTAATTTTTCATGTCTTACATTCCCAACTAAAGCCTAAAATTGTTTTGTATCCCACTCAAAATGCCTTACAGAAAATAGAAAAATCAATTTGATCGTTTCCTTAATTACAGGAGTCATTGCAATTAGTTACATAATTTGACTCTTGGCTATCAGAGTTAAATTATTTGAACTTAAATAACCATTTTCCTGTAACTGAATATAATTTATATTCCCTATTTCCAGTAATTAACTGGCATAAAATACAGAAATACCAACAAAAAGTAGTGTAGCCCACTGGTAAAGTGCATAGACTCTGTGGTTAGACAGACTATATTGGATTTCTGAATCAGCTACTAAAATACCTAGTGTATGACCTTAAACAATTGTCTTAAGTTCTCTAATCTTCAATTTCCTCATTGTCAAAAAATTCCTGAATCAGCTACTAAGATACCTAGTGTATGACCTTCAACAATCGTCTTAAGTTCTCTAATCCTCAATTTCCTCATTGTCAAAATGGGGAAGATAATAGTATGGTGTTTGGAAGGCACACAGTGCCTGATGGAGAGTATGTGCTTGGGAAAGGGGAGCTGCTTCTGCTATTCTTATTTAAACGAATGGTCTTGAAAAGCTTATAAATATTACCACTTTTTTCTTCCTGCATCAGCCTCTACATCATAGCAAATAAGTGTTCTTCCACAGGACCTACTTGAAGCATTGTAAAGATTACCGAAGTTAAATATTTTCCTGGCTGTCCTTGTC
The DNA here is from genome assembly GCF_000001405.40 of Homo sapiens. Taxonomy (NCBI): domain Eukaryota; kingdom Metazoa; phylum Chordata; class Mammalia; order Primates; family Hominidae; genus Homo; species Homo sapiens. The sequence goes on from NC_000010.11 coordinate 15,784,410, forward strand.
ACTCCAGTTTTGCAACTTCATTTATTTGTGGCTGATTAAATAAATGTTTACTGGGCCTCGTGAGGTGGCTCATACCTGTAATCCCAGCACTTTGGAAGGCCAGGACGGGTGGAACACCTGAGGTTAGGAGTTTGAGACCAGCCTGACCAACAAGGTGAAACCCCATCTCTACTAAGGATACAAAAATTAGCCAGGCCACCATATGTAGTCCCAGCTACACAGGAGGCTGAGGCAGGAGAATTGCTTGGACCAGGGAGGCGGAGGTTACAGTGAGCTGAGATCGTGCCACTGCACTCCAGCCTGGGTAAAGGAGCGAAACTCCATCTTAAATAAATAAATAGTTTACGGAATGATCACTATATTCATCTGTTAGGGACAAGGCAGTATGTGACTAATTGCCAAAAGGAGTGTTGAGTCACTATGCATTTTGTGGCTACAGGGGAAAGGGGACATCAGTGGTATGTAGGGCATGATCGGAAAAGATCTATGACACCGAGGGCGTCTGAGCTGCTATAGGATGGGAACAGATGGGAATAGGTGGGACTGTGACAGGTCTTCCTCTAAAGCAGCTGTTCTCTAACTTGGGCCTCCAGATCACTTGCAGGGCTTGTTAGACCACATTGCTGCACCCACCCTTAAAGTCTCTGCTTCAGGGAGAAACCTGAGAATTAGCATTTCTAACAAGCTCTTGGAGATCATACTGAGAACTCACTGCTCTAAAGGTAACCAAGAGCAGGATCACATGCTCGTGGGAGGCAAACAGCATGAACTATACAGACAATGAGACAAACCAGGCCCAGGTGGAGAGTGTCTTCAGAATAGCAGGCAACAAGTAAACAGTGAGAGAGGAACACAGAGGCAACAAACAGTACAACCAAATGGAAATGTCTGTTACAGGCGAAAGAGAAGGGACTAGAACCCTCTTTTTACCTAAAAAATTACTACAAGTAACTGTCTCACTTTACATTTCTCACTTTTCAAAATCTTCCCCAAATTAAATTAAAAACAGGAATATTCTTTTTATTATAACTAAGAATCAACATTTCTATCAAAAGTTCCGATAGCAGCCTTGAAATATAATTAAAATTAATACTGTCTCAAAGTTTAAGATGGTATAATGTATTATTAATCCAGATATCCAGTCAGAATGTGAACAAAGAGGATATCACACTGAAGGGTCTAATGTCGGACAATAAAATCTAATTTTTCATGAAGGCTTTAAGACCAAAGTTTTAAGAAGTCCAGTAGTCTACATTGTCTACATTGTGATATCCTCAGTTACTTTTTGAATCTTACCTCTTTCTTAACAATTTTATCTTGAGTTTAACAATCTTTTTTAACAATTACATTCTGAATTTTAGTAATTATATTTTGAAATTTTCCCTCTTGCTTTTAAATTTTTTCTATTTGTCAATATGTCTCTCTAATAATAGCGGTAAAATAGAAATTGGAATGTCTATTGCAACAATGAACTTCAGTGCAAACTATACTGATATCTGATAAAATGACCATGATATCTGTTATCTAGTTAAGTAATTTGATTTAGTGGTAAAATGCTTCACTTAGAGAACAAAGACAGAAAGATGGGTATTGGATATAGAACTGGCTTGCCAATGATGCAGATACAACTCAAAAACATTCAGGTTGGCCCAGATGCCTCTGCTATTCCAGGTAACTGAGCTCCTATCAAAGCCCAGTGGAAGACATGTCCCAATGGGAAACGGCCCAGACCCACTTAGGTTTTAATTCTCCAGGAGCTTAGCTTCACTAGCTAGGGGCTTCTACTACCCACAGCCACCTTGACCTCTTCTCACAGTATTTAACAGCTTCCTGAGAGAAGAAAAGTGGGGGTGGGAGTGGAGAAAGAGAATCTTTCTCTTTTTACTCCTCAAACTTCCGAACTGTTCTCTCCGTATCATTATGTGTATAGACTGGTGTCTGCGTCATCTTCTGCTGCCCTCCCCATCAAGGCACTGCGTTACCGTATTCGAACACACATTCCCTCTGTCTGGGAAGGTTTCCATGTAACGGTGTTTTCTCAGTCTCATATCTGCGCATTAGGACATTGTACAGAAAGAGAAAATGCTGCAAACAATCACAGGTAATCATCCCAACAGAATAACAATGAATATATTTCCTCAACTATGTTACCTGATCAGGAAAAAATTCTTGAAGAAATGGGCCCAATAATATGATTCCTAATCCTTCTGGATCTAATTTATTCTTCATGAGATTTATACTACGGGGAGAAAGAAGAAAAACAGTGGATACCAGAGGAAAAAAAAAAGCTGCTTTTCTTTCATGATTAAATTACTGGTACTACAACACATTCGGCTGCCAAAAACACTAAGAGCTGTTCTTTTTAGAACCTTAATGACAAATACACAGGAATGACATCTAATTTGCCAAACTTGGTTATTTTTAAACTAGAGTAATCTGTTACTATTTAAAATTTAAATTGTGATGACTTTGGAATATTGTTCCTTATTAGGTAAAGTAATTTAAAAACCAAGGTTTATAAACTCAAGCTTGTAACTTCCCAAAGGCAAATTCTCTTTGCTTCATAGGTATGCCTGAATTTAACAAATGAGGCATTTAACTAACAAAATGTTTTTCTTTTTCTCCTTGGGCTTAAAATACAGGGTCAAAAGGCAGTGGTACATCAGATAATAGAAAACATCTCTTAAAAAGCTTACTTTTAAAAACTAAATGAGATAGCAGCTTAAAATTCATAGACAATGTAATTTGAAGGTTAAAGAGCTACATTAATTCTCAAAGAGCTAATGCGTCATGAATGACAGTGACTGATATATACTGTATTGGTCCAGCAGCAGCCTAAAGTGCATACCAGCCCTTACAATGCAGGTGTACCAAGGCTGGTGACAGGTGGTGTTATGTGTGACTAGAAAGAAGGAAGAAGAAGGCAGAAGAAGGCAGACTGCAGTTTAATGGGTTTAAAAATGAAAATAGTCTTCAGAAAAGTTTTATTTTCCTTGCTATCTCAAACTATAAAGGCCAAGTTAAATCTACCTTACTACACAACATGCAAAGTGTTGTGTTTGGGGATTTCAGGTGGTTCTAGTCAACCACCTTCCTCAGGGGCAACTTCTCTCCTTTCAGTTTGCCTCTTCGGTCTGGGTCAGTTACCAGGTGTGCCTTTCACAAAAGGAGTTAAAGCTATTCTTGTGAGGGTAAGCTATGTTTTAAGGTTTATGAAAGCTGCATCTGCGCTGACATAGCCATCTCTCCCGGAAACACCTGGGTCAGGCTGCCTCACAGACCTCCTACCTGACGTCTAGTATTGGCCCTGTGAGATACTTTTGTGGGCCTGTGGCTATCATTCTTGTATAGTATACTGTACAAAGGATATGGCATTTTAATGAGTCTGAGTAAGGCCGGGAAGTTATGATGAAACAAATGAAGGCAGGGTCATTTGTGTTTAATTCATTTAATCCTTAGGATGGCCCAGTTATTTCATGGGCCATTCTGTATTACAGTTGTAAATAGGCCAAAGTAGAGTGAATACTTCAGTCCAATCTTTCAACTACTTCAAGAAAAACAACCTGATTGAATCAATTGTACTAACTTCATGATTCAAGGTACGTTTTCCATCTGATAAAACAAGGAAAATTAGGTAGATGATATATAGCTATGGAAGAATTTGGAAAAAAAAAAACTTTCTTCTTTCTCTTCCTTGTCTTAGGCTGGTCAGTAACAAAAATTACTTGAGTTAATTCTCTTTTGTAAATTAGAGCAGTGTAAACAACATGGTCTCTACTTGGAAATAAAGTTAGAAGAAGTATAGTAATTACTATCATACCATTTGTTGGACTAGTTCAACACTCTGAATTTCTCTTTAAATTGAAAACAATTATTCATTTATTAATATTTCTAACTATTGAGAATGGATGAAATCACAGCTCTGAGTAGTAAGCTTGAGACACATTAATTCAGATGTGGCTAGTTTATGTGTATTGCATACTTTCAAAGAAAGTATGACTGAACTCATCTAAAAACGGAACAAGACCAAATTCTAAAAACGGTGTCTACCAATGTTTCCTGTTGCTTTTGCTGAACTCTTTCATTATGTTTGATAAGCTCAAGTTTTTGCATTCTTAGAAAAACTTGCAGAAGGAAAAACTATGCTGAAAAAAGGAGTAAAGGTCCTATCTTAACTTTTATTCCCATATTTGATCAATACATGTATCCACTTAAGAAGAGTTATTTTTTCATGGATAATAACTAAAGATCTTAATCTACAGAGGAAGTTGTAGATGTAACAATGCATAAAACATAACAGTGAGAATGAAGACAATGACAGGATCCTAAGAAAATACTGAAAAACGATATGCCATAATATATTGCAGCCATCCCTAAAAGTTTCAGGTCAGTTAATTTAATCATTTAGAAATGTTAGATATCTTTGATCATCTTTATTTAAGAGGGAAAGTCAGAGGCCTGCTGGTTATTTAAGCAGGGCAACTAGCACCATCTACACAGAACCGTCATTACTTTACTGAAGATACTAATGTCACATAAAATTTTAAGACGTGGGGAAGTGTTTGCAGAGAAACTTTTTAAAGTTTATAGAAAGACACTTTTAGCATTTTTTAAAAAGCAGGACAGTAATTGCTGGGTGGGAAAGGAAACTCAATTTAAGTATGTCAAGTCTGCTATAATATTGGATTAGTTCGATTTCTTAATCTTTGCCTTACATAGATTGCTATGCTTCATATATGCAGATATAGATTTTTAAAAAGGCAAAAAATGTACAATATGTCTTAAACTTAATCGAATCTTTTTGAGTTGGCTAAATAACACTTCCTATTTAGCTTACTATTCAGGATCTGAAACAAGGTCCAATGCTTTCATCACATCTTCCAGAAGTGAATCGGGTATGAATCCATTATCTAGGGGGGAAAAAATCAGAAACAACTTGAAATAAGAATTTACTTCAAGAAATGCTATTAATGCTGATCAGGTTCCAGGAAAAAAAAATCGCATAAAAAATACAAAGAGTTAACATACTATTCCTTAAGTTTATTTTAGGCATAGTGCCTATTGCTATTAGAGACCCTCTTCTATTTGTTTTCTTGGAAACATCGGCAAATACTTAAAAATATTTTTTAACTTGAGAACTCCGACGAAAGCTTAAAGTCAAATTACTTGATCTTTAAACAGTGTTACAGCGTTAAGTGGGTAAAATATTTTTCTACTTAAAATCTTAGGTTTATCTTTCAATAAACAAAGTAAACCTTTACATTTGCATTTAACAATTCAATTAAAATAATTCTTTACCAACAAATTCCCTTTGTCACAATGTTATTTAGTTTCTTGAAGGAATGTCAGTGATCCACTGATACTTAGACAACTGACAGATTAACAGCAAAGGTATTCTAAAACAGACTTGGTGATTTAAATGAAAGCTGTAGGTTTAAAAAAAACAGCCCTGAAATGAAGAGTCAAACTAATGCTGATGATGACTACTTTATGGAAAATGGTCCAAACTCTGATGATGCAACAGACCATGACACACACAAAGTCCTTGTGGGGTAGTTTGAAATGAGAGTGGTTTTAAACAAAAGTTGTTTATTCCTTAAATGTACAGTGCCCAATTTTCCCTATCCATTTACTCATTCCTGAAGATTGTCTCAGCTTTAAATCAGCTTCCAATGTCCTTCAGGGATTAGATGATTAAAAAAAAAATCTTGCCATGGAGAACAAGATGTCCAAAAGCCCTGCTCCTATAATCAAACTACAGAATAAAGTGTGCAGTTGCTCTTTCAGGGTGTGGAATTGTACACTATCTCTATCAGAAAGGAATGAAGTTATGATTGTAGAAAGGTCTTTTCTATTCTTAAACCTCTTTTCTATTCTTAAACCTCATAAGGAGCTGTTTACCCATTTGAAGACAGATTGGCCTTGACTAAAAGGTTATGAGTCATCTAGAATAATTAAAAATGTGCAATTTTTTAAGTGAAGGGTTTAGAGTAATTCCAGTTTGTTAAGTTACCAATAATTTGAGGTACTGAGAATAAAGACGACCTTGGTTGAAGGCACTTGTGAAAACATTCAAGCTCTGGCTCTGTGGGCTTAGCTTTGATGAGTCTGATCACTGATTTTGCTTAAGTTAAGTCATAGCTAAAGGCTCAGCGTCTCCGAATGTGAAACAGGCTTTATGTGGCCACCAACAGACAGGAACAATTAGGTTTCTGTGTTTATAGGCTATATCCATTTGATATTACAGGTGGAGTCTCCCTCATCCAAAATGCCTGGGTCTAGAAATGTTTTAGATTTCAAATTTTTTCTGGTTTATGAATATTTGCAAATATATAATGGCTGAACATCCCTGATCTGGTCCAAAATCTGAAATGCTCCACGGTGTCATATTGGCACTCAAAATTTTGGAGGATCAACCTTTCGGGTGAGGGATGCTCAGTCTGTACACCGTTTTTCAGGAGCACTGACAGCATGTACTTTGTCATGGCTGGCAGCCTTTCCGCAGAAACCATAACCTGCAACTCAGTTCCCACCCCAACCAAGAGCTAATTGGCAAATGACAACAAAAACAACAATGTGACCTTCTTAACAACATGCTTATATATGATTAACCTCAAGCTTAAACATTTTTAAGGTAGCTATGAGATTTACAACTCATAAGCACAGATATTCTGAAGTGTAACCATAACTGTACCCGGTCAGTAACTCTACATTTTGTACATTTAGTATTTTAAAACTAAAGATGTAATAGAATTTTCTCAATAATTCAAAACTTTTAATATACTCAAGATTAGAAGAGATTTCAAAATTATTTTCCTTTGTAGAAGACTTACTTTGACATGTTAACCATACCTACAAAAAATTCCTTAGAAAAAGGCCAGAATCATTAAGTGTAAAAACAGATGAAACCTAGGTCATCTGACATTTCACCAACTGACTCCCTAGAGAATAAGGAAACAGAGGCACAAAGATGAAAAGACAACCTCAAAGTCAACAGCAAAGGAAATCTCAGAGAATACCATTTGATTAGTCAAGCAGATCTATGAAGAACTAAAAGAAAAAAATAGAACTTGCATACACTGGTAAATTAACTACATAGATATCAACACAAAAGAATGGGGACTATGAGGCAGGGCAAGCAAAAGAGGGCAGAGCAGCCAGGATGGGAAACGGCTAGCATGTACATACTGTAATGCTGTTGGATTGTGGCTGAAAGGAGGAAAAAAGCTGTTGGTTTAAAATTTTAAAAGATTTTTACCAGTTGAATATCCAGATTGCTAAAAGTGTCAAGTCCTTAGAGATTGTGGGGAGGAATAACTCAATGCAAAGGAGCGCTGATGAAGGACAGTGAAAGTGAGGCATGTAATTTCCTGGATAAGATAACTATTTCATAACTGGGAGGAAACCTGAGTTGGGCTTTCAAAGGAAATATAAAACAATCAGGATTTCTGTCCTGAAAGATTAAGAAATAAACAGGAGAGCCTAGCAGGTCTCAATTTTAACAGAGATACTAGCTAAACTGGACACTGCAGGAAGAGAAGCCAAATGTTGGATACTCAAAACTAACAGAGAAGCTGGAAAAAGGTTTCTCAGAGTTGTGCAACAAACAGCTTATAAGGAAACTGTGAAGCCCACTGTACTTGAGACTAACATTTTCCATACACTGTGGGAGAGGGAGACTACAGTTTCTTGGGAATTAAAAAAAAAATAGAATTTAATAAAGCCTTAGTATTTATTAAATTGTAGGTCTATATTCCTATTGAAAAAGCAAGTGACCTTTTCCCCAAGGCCAAGTCACACACCAGAGCTGAGCTTTTCCAGACCTCTTTGGCATTACTTCTGGCTCCCCAGTGGGCAATGAGTTCTGGAGGGCAGGGAGTCCAGATCCCCAGGGCCTAGCACAGTGGTTGACTCATAGCTGCTCGTTAACATTTGTTACTTTTAATGATACAAGCTCATAAATAAGTAGCTCATTTATAGCTTGTACTGCAAATTCACTTTTATTATGGGATGGAAAAGGTACAAAATATGGTGGCACTATACAGAAAACTGTTAGCTGGGGATGCCTGACAGAAACAGTGCTAACAGTGACGGGAGGCCACAGCAAGGGCACAGGGAGGAGCATTTATTTAAAAGGAACAGAAAAGACAAGGCAATTCTAGAGAATGCCTAGGGAGTGGTGTATATTAAGCTCTACCTACAATAGTCCAATTATTCTTAAAGATTAAAAAAATGCAGTACACTGAAATCAGACAAAATATGGCTGTCAACATATTTTAGCAACTTAACAAAACAAACAGCTTCAGATTTAAAAGAAATGGTGTTGCTTCCTGACATATAATTGTACAAGGGGGAGGGGATAAAGGAGAAAGAAGAAAACAAAATTCATTATGTATAATGTGAAAACCTGTGATTAGCAGTTCAGACACTACCTATGTAGACCTTGATGTCTTTGGAGGTTATGGAATAAGCTCTGTGCCACACATTTTTTAAAAAAACAACACCATGGTTAATGTATTGAGTGCTGACTAATCATATAAAGTTACTCTTAAGTCCATTTTACAGATGAAAAACTGAGGTAGGAACTCGTCCAACATCACACAGCTAGTGAGGCGTAACGGATGGAGCCATTTTCCTGGTATCCAGAGGCACTAGAGAATTGTTGTTGTCCAGTATCTTTGATCATATTAATATATCTTTATCAATCATTTTACAATAATTCCTATAAAACATGTACCTGAATACGAAGCACATATCCAAACATTTTCTTCCACAAAAAAGACACACAAAAATAAACACTGTGGACTTTCTCCAAAGCTCATGTGGAACACTTTGAATAGACCTGATAACTGCTTCTCTTTAAGCTGAGTAAGTGTGCTAGTCTCCCCTTTCTGAATCTGAGATTAAACTGAGCCAATTATCTAGAGGTGATACATCAAGGTCCCACAGAAAGTACAATTTTGTTACTATTCAAATGAGAAATTAACAGTTAAAAACTATATTTTTGACCTTGTTTTATAAGTATGCTTGATATCAAAATAAGTACTGGGCTCCTAAGATCCTCAAGATTCTGAAATGGGCAGAAATTGCTCAACTAGAAGCGAGAATATCAAATCCTTACTCCATTAAATTAACAGTTCAAAGTAAACTTAAATTTAGAAAGGTTAAAAAGTACCTTTTTATGACTTTAGCCTTTCAAGAAAGATACTGGTAGTAGAGAGAAGGGGAAAGATTGCTGAAACACTTAAAATCTAGTCTTGGTTCTCACATTTAGGTATGTGGCTCTGGAGAAGTGACTCAAACCATCAAAAGGTTGTTCTCCAAAGAACAAAAACAAGGATGATGATCCCTGCCTATCTCCTAGGTTTGTGGCAAGGTTTTAATGAGGTCATGGAGGTAAAGTGCTTCAGAAATCGTAACATTCCACGCAAATGCCACACATCATTCTTAGATAGATCCCCAATTTCATACCAGGTTTATGCTCCAAACGATCAGTACTAAATCACTTGTTTACACTATGGAAGATGTGGTCTCATAGAGGCAATGCTATAAATGGTGACTGGCCTGTACACGCCTATTTAATTAGGAATATACCCACAGCACAGTGTTAACAGCGTGACTGCAAATCCACCTACCTGTCAGAGAGCTGGGTTTATCAACCAGGGGTGGGAGCTAAAAGTGAGATAAAGATATAAAAATACTCCTGGGTACCTTCAGTGTCCTTCTAGGTCAGTTATTCTAAAAGCATTCTGAGGAGGGTGACACAGGATAACTGTCCCTATACCAGCCTCTGCTAAATGGAAACTGTATGTAAATGCTTGTAAGAACTTTCTGCATACTAAGTGTTCTGAGAACGCATGATTTGCTTACATCCTGAAACAAAAGCATATCATTTGGGGAAAGAAAATTAAATTAGCAGATTAGTTTGTAAGTGAAAAGAAAAAAAACTGAAAAATTAATCTACTTTTAATCCTTCTTAGAGCTGACTATACACATAGCTAAACCACGAACAGTGTGATATTTAGATGAAAAGTGGATTTTATCTTCTTCCTAAGTCATATATAGAGGCATACTTTCTAAGCTATCTGAATAAGTTTTGCTTGCTTTAATAATTCAGTTTATAGTCATGATAAGCTGTCACATGTAACTCTGTAGATTAAAAGCATTTAGTAATTTTCTTTGTCTAAAAGAAATACAACAAATTTTCATATGCATCTCTCACAACTCAATTCTGAAAAATTGCACTGATTATAAATTATGTTTTAGTATTGGTAATATGAGAAATTCTCATTTTCCTTGGTACACTGTAAAAGAAAATAAATAGTACAAGCCTGCTACCTCATTAGTGATTACTAAAAGCAAACAAAGCTACTACTTATGACAACTGTCTCCTACTTTAACAACCTTAATTTCAGTATCTTTGCAGCATTGATGAAATTTTTTCAGCCTTACAACATCAGCCTTCTAAAGTTTAGGGCTCCTATGTCTGCTCTGAAGGCATTTTTTCATGCCTTTATTCTTTAATAGTTATTATCTCCTAAGATTTTCTGATCCTTTCCTTTTATGTTTCTTTTCTCAAGAAAGTCATTCACTCCGTTTCAACTGTGGTTCCAAAATCTTCACTAGTAAAACAAAACACAACACAACACATAACGATTACATGAAAGCCATGTGTTTGGTTTTGGAATGTTCATAGTTATACTGGGTTAAGAATATGACTATTACCTTGGACAACTGCTTGTACCACTGGGCAAGGTGCTTTCCACATTATTCATTTAATATTCATAACGCCTCTAAGAACTAGTTACAGTTGTTCTAAGACTGATACCTAAGAAAACAGTAGACCTAAAAGTAACTAGCCTAAAGTTATCTGCTAGTAAGTGGTAAGAGAAGATATATTCTTAGAATTTGCATGACATGGATTTTCAGAGAGGAAAAGAGCAGATCACTAAGTGTACAAAGTTTCAAGACAGAAGAAAGTAAAGATAACTGAATCCATTCAGATATCTACAAGGACTTCACGGATACAGCAACTTCCATTTCTACACGGTACTTCGTAAGGGAACTCTGAAGTATGACAACTTAGTTTTGAAGTTATACTTGAAAGGTCAGTGAGTTAGCTATAATAAAGTCTTAACCGTTACCTAAATATGTAAACACAAAAGTGATCAAAACAACCTCAGTGACAATGACTCAGTAGACATTTTAATGATATATATGTGAACTTCTAAAAACTATACTTTGTTAGGTAGAATAGCTAAGCATAGGCTCCAAAGTGAATGATTCAGATGATCTTCCTCTGCTTCTTTATCCTGGGAGGTCAATTATACAGAAATATCCTGGAAGATCTGTTTATTTAATATTCGTTTGGATAAGTAAAGAAGAAAATGATTTACTTTTCAAACAGTTTGTTCAAAAGGTGGTATTTTTCCCTGTTTGGGGTCAAGATTAATCAGAGGGGTCAACTACACCTTCAGTACTCCAAGAAACACAGAAACCCAACTCAACAAGGACTTGTGTGCTATTTCATTTGTTCCCATTTTCACTACTTTCCTTTTAAAATGTTCAAGAAACACAACTTACATTTCATTAAATAATCCAATATATCTTTTGAATAAAATCAGGTCGCTATCAATGTATTTCAAACATATGAAGACATAAAACACAGAGATGATGTTAAAATCTTTTACCTTCTGGGTCGTAGGTTTGAAAAACTCTTCTGGCTTGTTCTGAAGGAGCTTCAGGGGCAACTAAAGCCATATCCTGAAAAGATAAGAAGCATGTTGTCAACCAGCTACAGTATTATGACATTAAAAAGAAAACAGATACTAGGGTAGGCAGACATAATGACATTGGAGTCAGAAGACTTTGAGTTACATTTGTATCATAGATGTGTAACGAGATAGGTCATAAACTCTCCAGGCCATTTATTTTACGTCTGAAAAGTGGCAATAAAAGCTTAACCACAGAAAAGTGTTGTGAATAATACATGTGGAGTTTTACATAAATACTTAAAACACTGGGGAAAAACGTCTAATACAGGTAGTTACTATAAAAATGTAGCATGAAAAAAAAAAACAAAAAACAAAACAAACACAAAAACAAAACCCAAACCATTTTTTCCACATTTTTTTGTTCAGGTAAGAAGAAATAAAATATACTCCAGTTTTCAAATATTCGAAAATAAAATCCAGAGATTTATTATAGCAAATAATGATACAATGAGATAGCAATGCATTAAAAATTTTAATTTAGTAACCTAGTCAAAGCTCAATCAACTTCTACATGTCCAGAATTTTAATTTTTCTGAACTCAAAGGAAACACCCTAGAGGACAGAAATTTCTTTCCCCCATAAAACAAATTCTCTACCATGACTAATTTATCACAGAAAACATTTATCAGGATTCTAAGCACAAAAATTGTGTTCTCTTTGATTCTTTACATTTACCCCACATATCTAAGCCATTATGAAATTCTACTTGACACACATGAATCTAAAATGTAGGCTCCTGTTGTTTACCTCTGGTTAGCTTTTACCTATAATTGTCTTTGCCTATAATGGTGTTTACTCAGACAAACGTCATCAGAGGGTAAGTTTCCAAGTATCCCTTCCTACTACCTTGAATCCTTTTTATGGGGTACAAATGTTAACATCTAAACTGCTGTTCCCCTGTGAACACAATTTTTGCAAGAAATGTACTTCTTAACTGTTGTTCTAATATCTCACCTTTACTCTGTTCACAGGTGAAGAAACTAAGAATCAGAGGAGTTCTAACTGAGCCATGAGGACTCGATTCCTGAAAACCTTATTTATAAAAAACAGGAATGGGAACTAAAACAAGGCAACCTGTGCAAGCCCTTACAAGTTTTTCATGTATTACAGTAAAAGGTAAAGCAACTTAAAAACCACTTGACATTTTTTAACATTTGTAAAATTTTGTAATGCACAGTTGTCTCTCATTTACCATCCCTTGCTAGAAACTTCTTAGGCTCACCCTTCACTGCATTTCCAACATTATTTTGCTGATAATGTATACGCCCAAGTGACATGTTTTCATTTGGCTTAACTTTCAATGCCTTTTTGATTTTATGATCTAGTCCTTTATTGCTGGACCCTTGAATTGTATCTAGTCTTCTGCTATTACAAAAAATGCTGAATCAAATAAACCTGAACATGTAACATCATAAACGTGCAGTTATATTTGCACAGCAGGTCACCAGAGTGGGATGGCTGGGTCAAAGAAAGGTTTATTTAACCTGAACAGTATTTCTTAAAACCCTCTTTCCTTTTTCTGATACATTACCAATACAGCCTTAGCTCTATAATTAACTCTTATGCCAAAGCTAGGACTGCAGTGTTGGCTCTCAGATTTAGGGAGCAATTGCTGACATGTGGGTTATTATTATTCCTCAGTTCCCTTTATCACTCCCAAACCTTAGTTGCAGATTTCTACATTTATTCTAGTATAAGCTTTAGCTCCCTTAACTATTTCTAACACATTTTTCTTTTTCAATTGTCTCCGTTAGACTGTTGAAATTTATAGATGAACACCATAACCTTTGAAATTCTGGCTGAGAAGGTACATGGTTACAGATTCAAATTTTATGCAGAGGGGAACTTACAGGGGCACAAAATCAGGATACAGTTATTCTTTCTATTCGCCATCTGTTACATTCTCAACCTTTTTTTGCGGTCACCAATGAATGAGGAAAAGTTCTGAAATGAGTTTTAAGATACTGCTGGTAATTTCTAAGTATTATTTAAAACTATGATCTAAACAGAAGAAAAGGGAGTATCAGGTTACTTTTTTCTGGGTTAAATCTTTTTGGGGGAAAGGTAGTAGAAATGTAACTGAAGCGTTACTTCAATATTGCTACAAAGTAAAGTTTGGGAAATTATCGCTGTTTACATAGTAGAGGGAAGCAAGTAGAATTCCAGATTTTAGCCATAGAAGGTTTAGATCAGATTCTCTGGCATTAAGGAGCTGACAGTTCAGGAGTGTAAAAAGAATTTAAAGTAAACTACCTGATGCCTTGTCTCTAAGTGCCAAGTGTTTTTTTTTTTTTTTTAAATACTCTGCTAGTGGTTGGGCACGGTGTGTCACGCCTGTAATCCCAGGACTTTGGGAGGCCAAGGTGGGCAGATAACGAGGTCAGGACTTAGTTAGAGACCAGACTGGCCAACATGGTGAAACCCCATCTCTACTACAAATACAAAAAATAGCTGGGTGTGGTGGCAGGCTCCTGTTAACCCAGCTACTTGGGAGGCTGAGGCAGGAAAATCATTTGAACCTGTGAGGCGGAGGTTGCAGTGAACCAAGATCATGCCATTGCACTCCAGCCTGGGCAACAGGGCAAGACTCTGTCTCAAAAACAAACAAACAAACAAAAAACCACTATGCCAACGTAGAAAGAAATTAAAGTAAACCTTAATGAAAAGTATACCACACATCTCTTTCTTGCCTGTGGTTCTGAACAGGCTATACAAGCTCACCTGCTATAGAAAGAGCATTTGGAACTTAGGCAAAAATCTCGGTGGACTCTAGTTAACATGTGTTCATTTAGAGCAGGGTTTGGCAAGCATTTTTCTGTAATGGGCCACAGAGTAAATTTTTATAGTAAATTTTTATGTTTTGCAGGGCATATGGTCTTAGCAGCAAAACACATGGCCATGGCTATGTTCCAATAAAACTTTACTGAAGCAGGTGGTGACTTTATTTGGCCTGAGGGCCATTTGCTGACCTATGATTTAGATAATATATTACATATTTTTTCCCCCAAATGCTCTAACATTTATTTATTTTTTTTAGATGGAATCTTGCTCTGTTGCCCAGGCTGGAGTGCAGTGGTGTGATCTTGCCTCACTGCAACCTCCACCTCCCAGGTTCAAGCAAATCTCTGCCCCAGCCTCCCTAGTAGCTGGGATTACAGGCATCCACCACCATGCCCGGCTAATTTTTGTATTTTTAGTAGAGACCGGGTTTCACTATCTTGGCCAGGCTGGTCTTGAACTCCTGACCTCATGATCCACCCACCTCAGGTTCCTAAAGTGCTGGGATTACAGGCTTGAGCCACTGCAACCAGCCTTTAACATTTATTAAACATGCCAACTTTTTGATATATGGGGGGAGTAAAGACATCTTAATCACTTTTACAGATTTTACAAAGAATATATTTTGGCTATTAGCAGAAATAGAAAAGAGGGCACAGAATTCTAGCTAGAAGGAACGGAATCAGGAAAGGCAGGGAGATGTGACTTCATAGCACACAGGGAAACTGAAAAAGGTGAACAGGACTGAGAACTGTGACAGAAAAGGAGGACTTAGGAAGGGAAATGAGCTTTGACAGAAGAATGAATTTGATTTTCGAACTTTTAGAGTTTGGAGGTAATGGTTAAACATCCAAGTAGAATACATGGAGTTATCTTAATACTTGGCACACTACGAACACTCACTGTTAGCTAACTGCGAGCTTCTCGTGAGCTATTAGAAATAGAATATTAGTGTTAGACTGAGGTTACGGCTGGGGAACTTGCAAGGGAAAATATTGAAAACTTATGGAAGCAGATTCCTTCAAAGAACTAAGAAGCGAGTACAGTTGATCCTCAAACAACATGGATATGAACTGCATGGGTCCACTTATATGTGAATTTTTTCTCAATAAATATATTGGAAATTTTTCTTGGAAGAAATTTTTCTTGGAAATTTGTGACAATTTGAAAAACTCGCAAACTGTGCAGCCTAGAGATATTTTCAAAAGTTAAGAAAAAATTAAGTATGCCATGCATGCATAAAATATATGTAGATACTAGTCTATTTTTTCTACTACCATGAAATGCCACAAATCTATTATAAAAAGTTAAAATGTATCAAAACAGGGGCATACGGACTGTACCTGGCACCACTCACAGTCAAGAGATGTAAACGAATGTAAAGATGCAGTATCAGATCACAACAGCATAAAATTAACTTTAGTGCATACTGTACTACTGGAATAATTTCATCACCATCTCCTGATGCTATTGTGGTGAGCTTGTGTTGTATCTGCTCAGAGCACAAGTATGGCGCTAATCATCTCCGCATGTGCAGCCCATCACTCCAGTGAGTTCCACATCACAGTAAAAAGTGATCTTAAGCAGTTCTCACATACTTTTCATCATGTTTAGTGCAATACTGTAACTCTTGAAAAAAAACCATGGAACCCATATGAAGTGCCACTAGTGATGCCGGAAGTTCTCCCAAGAAACCAAAGTCAGGACGTAAGAAAAAGTGGAATTGCTTGATATGCACCATGGATTGAGGTCTGCTGCTGTGGTTGCTCACTATGTCAAGATAAATGAATCCAGCATAAATATCGTAAAGAAAGAAAAGGAAATTCCTGAAGCCATTGCTGCAGCCATACAAACCTTCCGCTTTTTGCAAAATACCTCCTTGTACAAAAAATGCAACTTGTATGTAAGTGCAGGGTTGCTATAGGAAAGGCACACCTTTAGATTCTAATATGATTTAAGAAAAAGTGCAGTCATTATACAAGCTAAAGCAAAACAAAAGTAAAGGAGCTAAAGGTGGAGAACTTAATGCCAGCAAAGGATGGTTTGATAATTTTAGAAACTGGTTTGGCTTTAAAAATATCAAGGTAACAGGAGAAGCAGCTTCTGCTAACAAAGAGGCAGCAGTTAAGTTCTCAGAAACCATTAAGAAAATCTTTGAGAAGAAAGAATATCTGCCTGAACAGGTTTTTAATGTGGACAAAGGTGTCCTATTCCGGCATGGGGGGGAAATGCCATAAAGGACATTTATAAGTAAGGAAGAGAAGGAAGCACTAGGATTTAAGACAGAAAGGAAAAGGCTACTGTTTTATGCACATGCAGTCAGGGTGATGACCAGGACTGCCCTTATTTATAAAACTGCTAAACCCAAGCTTTGAAGGGAAAAGATAACACCAGCTGCCAATCTTTTGGCTGTATAAGAAAGAAGGCCTGGAAGAGAATGCTTTCTCTGGATCAGTTCTATCAATGCTGTGTACCTGAAGTTACCTAGTACCCTGCCAGTAAGAGACCACCTTTTAAAGTTCTTTTGATATTGGACAATGTCCCTGGCCACCCAGAATCCCATGAGCTCACCACCAAAGGCACCAAAGTAGTTAACTGCCCTCAAACACAACATCACTAATACAGCCTCTAGATTAGGAGGTCATAAGGACCCTTGAGGCTCATTACACACAGTAGTCTGCAGAAAAGATGATATGGTTATTGCTATTAAAGAGAACCGCAACAGCAAGAACAACATGGAAGTCTGGTAGGATTACAGTACTGAAGAGGCCATCACTGTTACAGAAAAAGCTAATCCATCTGGCCCAAAACATATTCCTGCTAGAGAACACTGTGTCCAGATATTGTGCATGAGTTCATAGGATTTACAGAGCCAATCAGAGTAAAGGGTTTCAAGATAAAGATCTTGGAGAAATTCAAGAGCTAACAGATACCACATCAGAAGAAATAACAGAAGATGGCTTGATAGAGATGAGTGCTTCTGAACCAGTGCTGGACAATGAGGAAGATGACGTAGAAGAAGCAGGGCCAGAATACAAACTGACATTCATTATAATTTTAACATATTCTTTTCTCCGGCTTACGAGATTACAGTATATAATACATATAAAATACAAAATATGTGTTAATCTACTGTTGGTTACGGTAAGGCTTCCAGCCAACAACTGGCTACTAGTAGTTAAATTTTTGAGGGAGTCAAAAGTTGTATGTGGATTTTTGACTATGCAGGGGGTTAGCACCCCAACTCCCATGTTACTCAAGGGTCAATTATGTTTTCAAAAACGAACTGCATTAGTCTGTTTTCACACTGCTATAAAGATACTACCTGAGGTGGGGTAATTTATAAATAAAAGGTTTAACTGACTCATAGATCTACATAGCTGGGGAGGCTTCAGGAAACTTATAATCATGCCAGACAGCGAAGGAGAAGCAAGCACCTTCTTCACAAGGCAGCAGGGGAGAGAGCATGCAGGGGAAGCACCAGACATATATCAAACAACCAGATCTCCTGAGAACTCACTATCAGAAGAACAGCATGGGGGAAACAGCCCCCATGACTCAATCGCCTCCCACCAGGTCCCTCCTTACTATGCGAGATGAGATCTGGGTAGGGACAAAGCCAAATCATATCAGGAATTAAGGCAACTTATTGGCTGAAGTTAAGTGTAAAACAAGTAACTCAAAACCCTGTATGTGGGGAAATGATAACAAACCCATTTGTTAGCTATTTAAACAGAAACTCTTTCTTTCCTCCCAACATACAACCCAGTGATACTGGTTAGGCTCCAAATAACAAAACCACCAACTGTAACTGTCATTACTAATACAACAAACTGTGTCTTGAACAATAAAAAAAAAAAAATCATGTTTTGCTCTTTTGGTCTCAGTCATATACTACTAACAGCTAATTTGGTCAACTCTTTAGGCAATAACTCTTAATCACACCACTTAAAAAAGATGTGTTTACACTAGAGGATGAAAAAAGAGAATAAAAAGAGAAAAAACCCAAGAGATTATTGTAAATTCAAATGGAAACATTCCAGAAGTTTTCTTCCACAAATCAAAACCAGTACATAGTCTTCTAAAGTGATTACTGGCTTGCTTATTTTGACTGTTTACAATGCTTTTTGGATCACTGTAGAAAATGATCTTTTATTTAAACCTTGTTTAAATTTATGTAATGTTTAAATGTTCAGAGATGTAATCAGAAAGTTATGAAACCACCTTCTATTCCCATTAAAGTGTTTCATGTTGCAGTTCTTTTAACTCTGTAATTTTAATTCAAATTATAAACACTAATTTTTGCCGATTTATTTAACTTAAACACTTGCAAACAGGGTTCCTAGTATAAAGATCTGTAGACTAATCCATGTAGCAAACTTAATATTAATATATCAATATACTGCATATTTGCATAGCAAGTTTGAAGAGCAAGTATAGAATTACATTCAATTGAGAGAGTTTTACAATCAAGACAAAACACTTCAGAGGTATAACTGCCGTATTTTTCTTATTGTACATAAAATGGTTTAGTTAGAAGGAATGTAATGACTTTATAAATGTGAAGAGGAGGATTCTACCCTCAGATTTTCCATTTCCAAAATTTAATATAGCAACAGCTTTTAGGTTCCATATGTAGTATATTTTCTCTATCTAACTATACATAAAACCATAATTTCTTAAACATTTGGCAGGCTTAATAGATGGTAGAGAAAAACCCAGTCTGTGCACTTAAGGTCGCAGTCTAATAGAACAGAGAAAAACATGCTACTCTATCTTTACTTCCAAGAATCTTATTAAATTTATCCTAAGAAAATTATCTTCCAAGATGAAGTTCTAACAAATGTACACTAATCCTACACTCCCCCACCACACACACAAAAAACCCCACGAATGATAATTAAGTAAAGGGATTCCAAGGTCAGCAAATACACTTGCATTTTCTTTTCTTCATCCCTAGTTGTAATACTTAGGAGAAAATTTCAACATGTACTGCATTTGGAACTCTTTTAGGTACCCTCAGTAGGAAGAGATCCTACACATGAGACTCAACGATTACATACTGTTTTAGTTAGCAATTTAAGCTCTGATTTACCATCAAAATTATTTTTATTGTAAAAGCAGTTCTTTACATTAGTCTGATATAATCACATGATTTTATCAGAGGAATTTATATTCAACCAATTTACTGGTCAACAGGGATTGCAAAACAATATAGCTTTTAAAATTATCTAGCCTCACTCAGCTTAAATGCAGAGGGTTGGCGGGGGGGCGGGGGATGGAAGTAGGTGGACCAAGCTGTTAATGGGACTATCTAATAGCCTACAATCATGAAACAGATATCTCCTTTTCACGTAGCTCTGTATTATCAGTGTAACTATTCACTATTCACCATAAACCTTTTAAAATGTTGTAACATTAGCCATCCTTCTAAACACCTACTGAAATATAAGGCCTGTGTACAGTGGGTTGGCTGGGGATAAGTAATTCATTACTGAAAAGGTCTTTAAAGTTTTTCTCATTAAGCCTTTCATCGTTATGAAGAGCAATCTGCTGTCACGATTCATCAAAGAACCTCCAAGAGCATCGTCATCTAACTTCAAGAATGACTGCACATATATAAATGACATTTTAGCTTGCAGACAACATATTATAGTGTTTAAAGTCCCTCCAATAAATAAATAAAAGGTAAATGCTGTATAATTTACCTTTAAGCAAAATTTTACTTTATAATGTTTCACCTTTAGTCTTTGCTTACTATCTGTATTTATGAACAAATAATTTGGGAAATAGATTTTAAGTCAATTACATCATCTCAAAACACAGAACGTCATTAGTGGCAGCAAGATTAACAGAATTCAGTTAATCCCAATACCTGAAAGCAGGAAGGATGGTGGTCTTTTCTCTTATTCTTCCATTATTTTCCAAATAACGTGTAAAGCCCAGGTCACCTCCACAGTAGCCCACTGCTGTGAGGCACCAATCTGTGTCGTATGGGCAGAGAAATCAGGGTAGGAAACACAGCAGACAGCCCTCTGACGTTCTTCCTCTAGAAACACAGACTCTAAATGCACAAGTGGAAATAACGCAGTGGGAGAAGAAGTTTCCAACAGATGTCATCTACTCTTGTGCCATAATTATTAAAATCATTAATGAGTGAGCTGCTGACTCTCCAAATTATCGTAATCGACCAACTAACTTTAACAAATCCGTCAAGCTTTTCTTGAAGTTAGACGACGTTCTTGGAGGTTCTTTGATTATTCATGACAGCAGATTGCTCTTCATAATGATGAAAGGCTTAAAGAATAAACTTTAAAGACCTTTTCAGTAATGAATTACTTATCCCCAGCCAACTCACTGTACACAGGCCTTATAATTCAGTAGGTGTTTAGAAGGATAGTTAATGTTACATTTTAAAAGGTTTCTGGTGAACAGAGAATAGTTATACTGGTAATACAGATAGAGGTACCTGAAAAAATAAAGTTCCTCTTTATTTCAAAGTTAGGACTCTTTGTATCACTGGAATTAAACTGTTCAATCACCTAGTGATACAAGGTAATCGATGGTGGTAGATAATATTATTGTTCCCAATTAGTTGCTGCTTCCTCCTTCTAAGAGGATTATTTGTCACTGTCTGTTGCTAAGTGACCTGAAGTACTTTTCTCTGAAATGGGCCTACTTCCTTGCCTCATTGACATCAGATTCAGCCAGAGAAATACAACTGGGAGTGACATTATGCTAGCTCCTAGCAGAAACTTTAAGTGCCACTATCTGGTTTGGCCAGAAGTCTTGTTCTTTTCCCTCTCTTATGAGAACTGCACATTCCAGGCAGAAGCTACTCCTTCAGCCCAGATCTTAAAATAAAAGAGACACGTGGAGCACACCTGCAGCCAACATGTAAGTTATGAGGGCGGTAAGCTTTGGGCTGGGTGTGTTGGGGAGAGAGGTATGGTGGCTGTGGTGTGCTCCAGTACAGCCAAAAAGAGGGTACATTGCTTTTAGAGACGTTAAAACATTCTCAAATTCCTTTTTGCCATCACCACGTGCAGACAAATCTGAACAATGTCAGTAGTCACACACTCCTCCTACCCACAGGATGGGCTGTTCTCATCGCCCCCTTCTTGAGTACCACTGTGTACAGGACTGAAATGTCAGGGTTGTTGGTTACTGCAGCAAGCTGGCAAAGGGGATTAAAACCTAATATTCTGGCTGGGGCTGTATGTTGCTTGTGCCACATGTACTCTATTTGATCTTCCTATTGAGAGCAGTCTATATTTTCCTCTTGTGTCTTCCCTCATGCTATCCAGTAACTCTGACCTTAACAATGTAAGCTGCACATGGAGGAATCTCCACATACGCAGACTTCATGTTTCCTATGAAAATTAATGCTTAAGAAGATTACTGAAACTGTGTCTACTCAATACCAATAATTTAATCTTGGGAGGCTTGGATTAGTATGAACAAAAAGTGAGGGCCCCCAACCAATCCTACCTCGTTTTCTACAATTTTAAACAAGGTTTGCATGATTACAAATTAGTCACAGTACTCACATTTATAATTTAAAATTTTATCACAGCTGTGCAGAGAAGCTTTGACTGTTGATTCAGAAGGCTGCTCTACTTCCATGAATTTGCTTTACATTCATGCCACGGATATTCCTGTTTAGCTTTCCATATCAAGACAGACTTTCATATAGTAAGGACAATTTGTAAATAAATGTGATTATTCAAGCTGGTCCTACAGCTGATCGTCAACCTTTGGTTTCATCTTAATATCCTAGCACAACTAGTATGGTTTAGCTATCATCTACCAATTACTATTCCCCAAACACAGTATTAACTTTCCCATTATAACACTACATCTATACAGCTTTCACTTCATATCAGTCTCAAAGTTACCATGTCCTTTCATTCAAGTATAATCTTTTCTACACCTACTTCTTCCCTCTTCCAGGGTCTACTCTACTCTAGCAGAATGAGTTGTTTTCTTAAGGGAGGGAAGTAGTTAAATGCATAGCTCAGAAGTCAGAAGACTGGAGTTTAAATCCTGCCTTGGTACTCACTAGTATCTAACTTTGGAGATGTCATTTTTCTCACTGGCCCCAGACTGTAACATGCAGATGAAAACGGCACGCAGCTCACAGGGTTGGTTTGAGGATTAAATGAGGAATGCTCCTGAGATGATTAATTAGCATACTGCCTAACATACAGACAACATTCAGTAAACACTCACAGTAAACTATTACCATGTATTATTAATCCTTACGTTCCAACAGTACTTACCACAATACTGAATGTGTGTGACAGTAGGTAGTGTGGGAAATCAGTTAGTGCCACAAGAAGGAAGGAAGTTGGAAGAAAGAACAGGAGCAACAAGAGAGTAGGAGAATCAGCGGACACAATACGAATGGTGGAAGGTTGGACCAGGAATGCTGAGCAAGACTTTGATAAGCGTATTCTGGGCAGAGGATAACATAAGCAAAGCATGTGCAAACACACACAATAATCCCCCAAATTAAACTTAGTAAGACTTAGTGGCGGTCATCTATTAACCATACAAGACCTTTTTTTGTACTCTGCTATCAACTCTACT
The DNA here is from genome assembly GCF_000001405.40 of Homo sapiens. Lineage (NCBI taxonomy): Eukaryota > Metazoa > Chordata > Mammalia > Primates > Hominidae > Homo > Homo sapiens. The sequence goes on from NC_000010.11 coordinate 15,807,554, forward strand.
GGCTATGATTTTTTTCTATCAATTCTGAACAGATAGCTAGGGGTGTGGGCTTAATGATACTGACTCTTAATTAAAACTCATAGGCTTCATTCCTAACAGAATACTTCTAGGCCCTTCCATCAGTATTTTATCTTTAGACAATTATTTGGATACTATTGTAAGAGAAAAAGAAAAATTCAGTGGAAAAGAGAGACTTCTTCCAGGAAGGCTGACATCACTGATGACTGAGAAGTAATAAGTAAAAGAAAAAGAAAATTCAGGGAAATCACAAAAACCAGAATATACAAATACAGCTGCATAAGGCAAAGAGTACATAAGGGTAACTGATGTTCACTTGGCTTAAGGAGGCAAGAACATTTATATTTTGAAAGATTTCTGGTCAAAATAATTAAAAATGAAAAGCTTTAGTATTATTGTGGTACAAGTCATTGGCATAATCCTAGATGGCTGATGGGGGACAGCCCCAAATTGTGCTAAGCAGGTAGGAAAGAGTTTGTGATTAAAAATTTACATACTTGTAATAATTCAAATCACTGAGAATAATTAAGCTGTCCAGATGTCTACCCAGACTTTCCAAGTAGTTCAGATAAGAGATTAACTTCAGGATCCTTTAAGTTGTTATTTTAAGGTCTTAAAAGTCACAGAAGTTATGATTAAACTACAAGAACAAATAATTAGCATTTTCCCTATTTCCTTTCTGTATTAGATGAGGCACGAAATCTCAATATATGCACAAACTCCAGAATTTACTTAAGATAAAAGGATGAGGTAACTAAACTGCAATAAAACACAAAATGCCAACTGTGAATTTTCTTGGAAGAGTAAACGTATAAAGCACCACTTTACAGCTTTTCCTTAACACCGTTTTATTACATGCAGAGAAATGTCGATGTAGAACTGTCCAGTTTTTAAACACCTAAGAGAGAAAGGCTCTAACAGTTCACCGCAGTGTTTTTCCTGTTACACCAAGGAGTAATAAAAGCAGCTTGTGCTGTAGAAATAATTCTCCCTACATTCCCAGTAACAGATCCCACTGGAAGAACAATGTCAGCTCACACAGCAACAGTTAAATAATTTTTTCCTCCTTAGCATTAAATTCAGTTTCTTTATATGAACAGTTCTGTCATGGATATTCACGTGTTCATGCCTGACAAGAAAACTGCTTTTATCAAAGGAAAGGTCAAAGGTGAGGTTCCGCACACACATAGAGCCCCTTTATAACCATAAAAGAGAACAAAAAAGTGATGTAAAACTCATCTCCCCAACTTCAATGAAGAGTTTAAATGGAGTACCAAGCAAATTAGCCACTGATCTTCTGAAGATGAAACTAGATGCTATAGGCAGGGTCCAACTATTTTTATACTGGATCAACAGCTGTCACTCCACATTGAGATTCAAATGCACAGTAAAAACAAAAAAGGCATTTATTATGTCTTCCATTTTATACATTCTAAATTCTAGTAATATTTAAAGTAGATTTTCAGATTTAAAGTGCCCATTTTGAATTTGCATTGAAAATTAATTTCCTAATTAGTTCCCAATTCGAGGGAAATTAAGAAAGTGACCCAAATAAATTATTCTTAAAACCCAAGTATAAAAATAAAAGATGAAGAATCAATGAGGAAAACGATGGTTAGGGAGAAAATAGAGGACAAATGCCCTAATGTTTGAACACTTAAATAATTATGGATTATTATGAAAGACCTGACTCCTAACATATTTGACATATTACAAAACAAATGTTACACAGCCTTCATCTAATAAGAGCTAGTTTTTTCTTCTGAAATTAAGGAAAAACAATTCAAAAAGTTTAAGTTCTGTATTCCTTAAGCGTCTACTTTTCAAAATACATTTCTTTTTACCTGTGCAGTAGGTTCGCATGTTTTCAAGTAACCTCAATGAAAGTGCCATGATACGATTTCTGAAGACCCATGCCTACAGGGCACATTCTGTCTCCATGTACAGACCTTTGTTCTGCCACAGCTCAGATGACCTGCTTGGAAAGTTCTCCATCGTACTTAATAGGAATTAAGTTTCCCTCTTTGAAGAGGTCCATTTACGTACTGCATTTCACCTCACCCGTATCCTCTTATTAGAAGTTCTGTGGGAACCCTGCTGCTTGATGACTCTGCAGTTCCTATAAGGTTCCTGAAGTTAGATTCTGTGATATTCTCCCTCAGTAGTAACTACAAAAATCTCATTTACATAGGGTGGCTTAGATGCATTTCTCACAACCAGACTCCTTAGGATACTATGTCAAGGAGTACAATAACAGTTTTGTTGTTTGACAGAGACAGAGGGTTAGTAGGAAAAGATGACTCTTTCTATATCAGACAGAAAATATGATTTATAAAACATGGTGGTTTAAATTTAAAAACTTAAAATTATATTTCTTCATGAAAGAAATGTTATAAATGATCAACCTGAACATTTTTACAACCTCTTCATAAAATTATTAAATTTATTTTTAATGATGATTCTCAAGTAAAACTGACTTGTGAAAAATCTCTTTTAATCCTACAAAATGTGTTGGATGATTATAGGTCAGGAAGAGGGCACCAGTACAATTAAAAAGGTAAATTCTGGGTCACTGGATATATCAAATATAAAGTGATAAGTTCATTAAGTAAATACTTTGGCACTGAAAATTAAAATCATGAACCTATACTAGTGCCCTTTAAAAAAATTATATTTAATTACTTTAAGTCCTAAAAGTAAATTGTTCATTTCAAAAACAAAAACAGATAGTTAAGAGGTTATTTCACTGGACAGAAGCAATTTTCTTAACCATCCTCAAATCATGAAAGTAAATTTTGAACATGTTACAGCATATAGGTAGTTTCACAAAGCTTATTTGTAAATACTCATGACAGCTGTTTCTATTCAATAATACGGGTGGTTTGAATTGGTCAGGTAGGATAGCAAAAGCTAGTTTTTCTATTTGCCCTCCATGTAAGATAGAGATCTATTGAATTCTGATGATCCAAGACTATTCAGCCATCTTAAGCACACCTCCCGACCCCCAACTTATCAAGTAATAACATGGTCATCTCACAATTTTTTTAAGATGGATCTACAGTGTGTTCTATAATGTATTTGGTCAACAAAAAGTCATTGAGCACCTACACTATGCCTGGCACTGCTCTAGGACCTGGCAAACAGTAGGTGACAAAACACAAAAATCCTGCCATCACAGAGCTTACTACAGAGAGAGACAGATAATATAGAAAACAAGTAAATATACAGGACGAATCTAGTACCCAGAATATATTAAAAAACTCTTATAACTCAATAACAAAAAGACAAACAACCCAATTAAAAAACAGGCGAAGGACCTGAACAGACGTTTATCCAAAGAACGTCTAGAAGTGGACAACAATCACATAAAAAGATGCTCATTAGTCATTAGGGAAATGCAAATCAAAATTACAATTACCACTTAACACCCACTAGGATGATTATAATAATAATTTTAATGATCCAGTATTGGCAAAGATGTGGAAAAATTCAGTTTTCAAACTCTGCCAATTATTTTGATAATGCAAATGAACACGGGCCACAAGCTTCGACTTCTAAAGGAAAGCAGGTTAGGAATAAGGGTAGAGAAGAAAAGAAAAAACAACTCAATAAGAAAATCAAGTCAAATTTAAATAAACATAATTCACAATAAAACCGAAGTTGAAATGTCAAAGATTTTTTTTCTGAGAAAGAAAAATGCTATAATTTTAAAACTTAGCCAATATACTATACTACTTTCATCATATTTAATCGCTGAGACCTTAGTTCATCCTGTATATAAATATACCAAAATATATTTTTTGAAAAATTTACTTACAAAATTTAGAAAAAGGAGCCAAAGCCATCAACCACTTGCCATCACAGTATTTTCAGTGCTAGTCATGAGACTATGTATAGATTAATATTTCTGAAAATTTTGGAAGTGATATTCACTTCTAACACAACACAAACACAAATTATTCCAAAACTGCAATGTATTTAAAGCAGTGGTATATGTATTTGAATGTCACTGATTAACAATACTTTTAAATCATGAAAAATGAATAGAACTCAAAACTGCTACTATTTAAGAAAATGTCAATTTGTGCTTCATCTTACCTATAATATAGTTAACATTACTCATAATTTTTGCCCAAAGCCACTAATTTGCTTCAGGAAAAAAAATAACATATGTGCACTTTCTCCTTATTACTAGGGTCTAATACATGAAGCTTTCATTCCTACAAAAATTTAATTACATGTGTACAGAACATATAAAACTAGTATTTATAACCTAAAACTTCAGAATAAAACTTTCTAATTAGATGCTTAATTCAGTTTTCCATGTACATTTGCAATAATGCTTAATTTTTCATTTTTTAAATTTTTTTATTATTTTTATTTTTTTTGAGATGGAGTCTTGCTCCTTCACCCAGGTTGGAGTGAAGTGGCACAATCTCAGCTCACTGCAACCTCCGTCCCCTGGGTTCAAGTGATTCTCCTGCCTCAGCCTCCTGAGTAGCTGGGATTACAGGTGCCCAGCACCACGCCTGGGTAATTTTTGTATTCTTAGTAGAGATGGGTTTTGCCATGTTGGCCAGGCTGGTCTCGAACTCCTGACCTCACGTGATTCACCTGCCTCGGCCTCCCAAAGTGTTAGGATTACAGGCATGAGCCCCTGCGCCCGGCCAATTCTTGATTTATTCTATAAATTTCAATGTTCTATAATTTCTGGGAAATAGTATAATTATCCCTTCTCAATTATTCATGTGTTAAATATTACTCACAACATCTTTTACTTTATTAATTCACTTAACACATTATCTTTTTACCCCATACAGAAGGTTAAATTCAATACAGCTTCTGATATTTTACTCTATCTTAGCTATCACATTTCTGCCTTCCTACCCATGCAATATTAGAAAAGTTTTTAATTCCTCTATGGACTGGTTCCTTTGGCATAAAGAATAGATGTGGGTCAAAGGATTCTGACAGCTCTCACTAGTGCTAAATTTAAATTTAAAAACTAAGCAGTTTCTACGTGGTGCATCAGTCTACATAACAGATTGTCTCCCATCACTGCTCTTTGGAGGGAAATACAAGAAGAAAGTCATGTCAGAGAAGCTACAGCATAGCTCTCCACATGCCTGTCTGAGAGGTACCTCTTATTTCCCCAATCCCACTTATTACGTGATGTGCATACAGTGAACAAATTGCTTTAATAACAAGCAGTTACATTCAACAACAGCAAAGCTGCTAAGTACACATTTTCTAAAGCTCTAAGATCTAATCATTAGCCACACCTATCTTATTAGACATTTCTACCCCTCCGCTGCCAATCCAATCCATCACCCAGTCCTGTCATTCTACCTCAGGAGTAAATCTCTGAAATCCATGCACTTTTTTCCTCTCTACCTCACTACTCTGGACCAAATTGTACTCTTTGCTTACCTGAAATAGAACTAGAGAAGTCTTTTTTACCTATTCCCTGGGTTATCCTTCAATATATCCATTCTCCACAATTAGCTAGAGTTATCTTTTACAAATGTGAATTTAATCCTGTTCCCTTCCTTCCCACCTCCCCCAAAACTACTCCCACTACCAATTTTTAACAAGTCTAGTTGTCCTAACTCTTAGTATCAAAGAGTAACATGGCCTGCTATTCTTCCAGCTTCATCTTACACCTTGTCCCCCTAATTCTCAGTGCTCCCTCCAGCCCTTGTCTTTCAGTTTGTTCTCACCCAAGTTCATCTGTCTGTCTGTCCTTCTTTCTTCAGGCATGAATTTGCTCTATTTGTCATGTAGAGAATGCTCTTTCCCCTCTCTTCCTCTGGTTTAATCTGATACCTCAGGTTCTCATTTTAGGCATCAATTTTTTAAGTAAACATCCCAATTTTCCAAAACTACAATAAATTCTTACAGCATTATGGACCTGTGCTTTGTCAGCACTCATCACACTTGTAAATTTATGTGATTATTTATATATCCTTGAGTAACTCAAGGAGAATGTCCGCCTCCATTAAGAACAGACCCATATCTATTTTTGCTCACCACTGTATTCACAACACCTGGCATAATGCCAGGCACATACTATAATCCAGTAAAAAGCTCATAAATGAGTATATGAATGAATGAAGAAACCTGCAACTATTACCACCTTCACCGCATAAGGCACACAAAGAATTCCACTGTTCTTCACAGGCATTTCACAACGCCAAATTACAGACTGCCTTAAAAATTATGCAAATAAAATATACTTTTTTACTTAATTGTAACCAGAACAAAGAAGTCAGCACATGAAATACACCAACAAACATATCAGTTTTATAAAAAAAGACATAAATATTTACAAGGAACTGCTGGGGAAAAATTAAAACAATGTTGTTTCAGGCCACTGAATGTATAATAAAGCAAACTCACCAAAACTCAAAAAAAAAAAAAAAAGAAAAAGAAAAAAGAAAAACCCACAGCCAAAACTGCTTGCTCAAATGCAGAAATGTTAAAGAAGGAATGGCCGAATAATGATTCTTGTTATAATTTTAAGAAGAGCGAAATTTCCAGTATTTTTTATGTGGTGAAGACTATATGAACATCAGTTTATATTTAACAAATCTAAAACAGGACTCAATAAATGTGATCAAGTATTATTGTTCTTATTTACCATTTAGGTGAACTTCCAGCTTTGTTTTACTTTTATTTCAAGGGGAAAAAACAACTCTTCACTGGGAACTCCTCTTAAAGGTAACATCTCAAACAATCCAAATTTGACTACTCTAAGAAAGTATCTATAGATACTACACAATGAAGCATCACAATGAGTCGTGTAAAATATTCTTAGGGGATATAAACGTCACTGGAACCCAAATGCGGGAAATTTGTACAAAAGTTTTATTCATTCAACTAATAATTCCCCCCACCCCTAGTGTGCCAGACTATATACTAGATCCTGAGACTACACAGGTAAGTCTCAAAACAGTAACAATTAGTATAAAATTCAAGAGTTCTACACCCACATGGCAGGAGTTTTTGTGTTTTTCTCTTAACTCCATGTCTCTAATTCAACACGTTATTGCACATGACAGGGATCTATGAATAAAAAGGTGGGCGAGAGACAGCCCCTGCCCTAGACAAAGTTCACTGGCTGCCATGGGACACGCAGAAAACAGTATGGGAATTAGAAACTGTGTGCTGTTTGACACATGCGACAGCACAATGGGCGAGTGCTATGGGAACCACAAAAGTATCAGGACAGGTAGGAAGAGTGTACTCATAAAAAGAAGGGCCTATTTCACTCTTGGGAACTCCCTCAACATCACTAACTTTTTCAGATAATGTCCTCAGACTCACAGCTCATTCGACACTGTTCCTTGTATTATACCTTCTGTGAAATCTCTCCTACTGTTCTGACAACAAAATCATTTCTTAAACATCAATTATAAAATTTAAGATTTAAAATATTGTCATCTTTTATATTCAACACTTTTAGTTTCATATAATTAGTTTTCCTTAAAGAATAAGGTTGCAGACAAACATGATTAAAAATTGGTTTGAAAATACATTTTTGTGTGTAAGTCAGAATTAATTTTCTTTTATGGTAATTTATAAAATGAAATCCTCACTCAGGAATTAGTAATTGTCAGTTTTTGTAGTTCACATTGTGCTTTTTAACTTCCTCTCTCTACTTCAGGAAGGAAATAAATAGCAAAAGCTTTCAAACTAAATGCAATGTATCAGTAACTCTGTACTTTTAGCATTTAATTTTAAAGCTTTCCGTGCTTGAGAAAAGGCAATTATGTATCTTGCTCTATAACCCCTATCTGGACTTTTGCCAACACAATAAAAGTAAATACAGTAAGACATAATTACATTCACGAAACTTAGCATTGTCAATTCAGACTAGAGTATAATTTATACCACTTGTACTTTCTACAGAAACAAATAATAAACTTTCATTGACTATACATGCTCAAAAAGCTCAAGGAGTAATCAGGAAAGCACATCACAATGAAGAAACCTCTAAAATACAATTCTGTATCTTCCTACGAACATTCAGCAACCTATCAAGTTACCTATGATCCCAGAGATGTTTAACGTATGTTTCTTGAATACTAAAAATGATGATGATGATGATGATGACGATGACCACAGCTAAAATTTACTCAGCATTTAATTTGTACTAGGCACTGCTAAATACTTTGTATTTAAGCCTGACAACAATTCTAAAAGCTAGGTACTATTATGAATCCCTATTTTAAAGACACAGGAAAGGGGGCTGAGAGATGTTAAGAAGTGGCAAGGCTGGGATTAAAACCAAAGTCGTCTGAGGCCAAAGCTCTTAACCACTCAATTGTGGAAAAACATGATATACAGATTATAGTTGAGATTTAAAAATAGCTTTGTTATAAGAATTTTGAAATAGAAATATTCAGATATGGCGGGGCACAGTGGCTCACGCCTGTGATCCCAACACTTTGGGAGGCAGAGGTGGGCAGATCACTTGAGGTTAGGAGTTTGAGACCAGCCTGGCCAACATGGCGAAACTGTCTCTACTAAAAACACAATTAGCTGGGTGTGGTGGCATGCACCTGTAGTCCCAGCTACTCGGGAGGCTGAAGTGGGAGAATCGCTTGAACCCAGGAGACGTAGGTTGCAGTGAGGCGAGACTGTGACATTACACTCTAGCCTGGGCAACACAGTGAGACTCCATCTCAAAAAAAAAAAAAAAAAAAATGAAAAAGAAAAAAAATAAAAAAGACAAGAAAAGAAATATTCAGATATATTTCAGCTATTTCAATATTGTAATCAGGTATATATTAAAATTGTGGGAAGTATTCCATCTTAAAAGAGCATTTGACTTTAATACCATTGAATTATTAATAGATTTTAAAATTTTTTCAAAGGAGATGCTGTAATTAAAACATTTTATATCATGTATCATCTAAGTTAAATAAATCTTTTATCCTACTTACAAAAAAAGCAATCTAAAACTTTAAAATTCAATTGTTTTCTCTATAACACAAGTGATTTCTGAAAAAAATCAAAAGCTAAAGCTCTAAAGAAAGAAGAAGAAATTATAACTAAATCATGATAGATTTTGATTAAAAGATTCCAGATTTAGAGCACGAAAACAGTATGTTCTTCAGTATTAGTTTTTGAGATTTTTGAACAATTCATTTGTTGTGGGAATAGACTGAAGTTTGCACAAAGATCCAAACCAAATATGAACTTATAATACTTGTTTGCCTGATGTCATAACTTAAAAAAAAATCCTGCTATAAGCATACCTTGGCAAAAAATACGGTGAGGTGAGTCTCACTGCCAACAATCCAAATAGGGAATTTTGGAGATTTCAAGTAAGAACCAACCTAGAACAAATGTAGCAAAATAAAACAAATAAACAAATTAAAAATTTATACTGCCTCTTATTTGCCCATAAATATCTGAAGCATAAAGTGTCCAATTTGTATTTAACTGAAATAATGTATTGTGCCCGAGCACTTCACCCATAGAGATCAAATGCTGAATGTAAAAATGAGTGTTAGAAGACTGTCAGTACTGAGCTTATATTGTGCTTTGACATTAAAACAACAACAATATAGATTTAACACAGCTGGAGATAACTATTTAGCCCTAAGAGTCATTCTCAGGTTTTGCTAAAGTTCCTAGATAAAATGACCACTTCTTAGAATTTCAGCATGAAACCTCAAACCCTAAAACTATAAACTTGACGATAATAACTTTATAAGGAAAATAATTATAGTTTATCAAATGAGTAGATTTATGAATAATCAAAGGGAAAGAACATCTTTGCTCCCAAATAATCAAGAAAAATTACAATTTAAACCATTTAAGTATGTAAGTGTCCTGTTATTTGACTCTTCATGATAGAAGGTAGGTTCAAAGTTTCACAGTATGAACAGTCTCTTTAAAATGTATAAAAAGCTGTATTTGTACTCTGCTCTCAAGGTTACATAATCTGTGAACATTACTATACCAAAAACTTGAGAACACGATTGTGTGTGTGTGACTGAGAAAAAAAAAGTTTAATACTAAACAAACAGAATAGACTTATGAAACCCAACACGTTCACACCACTCAATTCCACTCTCATATGAAGACAGAAACTTTAACTTAAAAATGACGAATCTTAGCAATACAATTTGCTGCATTTTCCTTTTTCTTACAGACTGCCTATAATTGGGGAATTCCAAGTGGCTGTTTGTGGCAGTCAGGCCAAAAATTCTTTCCTAATCAGCCAGCAGCCCCTGCTTCAACCACCACCCTGGCCCTGTGGAATTTATTCTTATCACTAGGAGGGAAGTGGAAAATAGGTACTCTTTTGTATCCATGGACAGAGAAACTAGTATTTTTGTCCTATGATGGGAGGGATGAGTTAGATGTGCTAATGTGGCAATGTTGAGCCAGTAAAGTAGGAAGGATGGTTTGGGAACAGCAGAGAAGAATAAAAGAAAAGGAACAAAGAAAGAGGGAAAGATAAAATCACAGTTCCAGAGTGGACGAGGATTTTAGAGGTGAGCTGTGCAAGTCCTTCAATTTATACATAAGGAACCAGAGAAATACACAGGATCTGTGCCTGGTCTCATCTCAGGCAACTAAATAGTACAGAGCTAGAATTAGGACTTAAGTTTTCTGACTTCTATCTACTCTGATGGATTTCCATCACATCACATGGTGCCTCGTGTGGTGAAGAGATTAGATATTAACCTTTCTTTCAGAAAAAGTGTGTATTTAAATTAAGGTAGAAGTAAAAAAAAAAAACAAACAAACAAAGGATAAGATCAAAGAATAAATGAATGCTAAACTCATGAAATGTTTTGTAATAGTAAAAATATATTGAATGCATAAATAAGTGTCATCACTTTGGACAACAGTTTGACACTTCCTCAGAAAGTTAAAAATAGAATTACTGTATGACCAGTAATTTCACTCCTGGGTATATACAAAGAGAAATAAAAACATGTACACAAAAAATTTGTACATCAATGTTTACAGCAGCCCTAGTCATAACAGCTAAAGTAGAAACAACCCAACTGATGAACAGATAAAATTGGTTTAACATACAAAAGAATATTATTTGCTCATAAAAAGGAATGAAATACTAACACATGTAAAAAACAGAGATGAACAATGAAAACACCATGCTAAGTGAAAGGAGCCAGAAACGAAAGGCTATATACTACATGATTCCATTGGTATGAAATGTACAAAAGAGGTAAATCCACAGAGGCAGAAACAAGAGTAGTGGTTTCCAGGGGCTGAGTGGGAGGAGCATGGGACTGCTAATGGGTTTAGAGCTCCTTTTGTGGGTAAGGAAAACATTTTGGAATTAGATTGGGGTAATGGTTGCATTGCATCGTGAATATATTAAAAAGCCCTGAATTGTATGCTTTAAAATGGTGAATCTCCTGGTATGTGAGTTATAAATCTATCTTTTTTAAAAAAGTAGAGTCAAAAGTAGCCATAGCCACCTTATTCTTTGTTGGGTTTGTACGTGTGTGTTGAGAGGGAGAGTGCAGGAGGGAGAAAGAGATTATTTCATCACCTTAATTGTATTAATGCATGTATAATCAAAATGATATTGCAAAATGTTAATTTCATCTTTAAAGGGAAATCTGCTACACTTATCAAAGCACGGGGAAATGTTCAGACTTACAAAATTAACACAAGCTCAATGACTTCCTTAATGCCATTCCTCCAAGCATCTCATAGAAAGTAAATGTAAAATATACACAGAATTTGAGAAGTTAGAGAGAGATGAACACTGTAGCGTAATATAGTTTTTCAAAAAATGCTGTCTTGACTCACTTTTGAGGCCCTGGCTAGAGGCCAGTCATTCCCTTGCAAAAGATAGCTAATTAAGTTCTTATTCCAGCCACTACCATTATAGGTCTCCCACACTCCAGGGATCACCCTAATCACCCTGGAGTCAGGTACCAGACAGACTACTAGGGATAACCCAAGAGCCCCCCAGAGTTATCCAAATTAGCCAATCCACAGGGGAGCTCAGGCAATCTAGCTGACCCCATCCTACTTCAGGTACATCAGCTGCTCCTAATGGCTCCAGCTTGCTGTACCCCAGTCCCCAGATGCAATCCTGCATGTGGCCCTGCCTGGCTTCCCTCCCTCATTTGCAGTTGGAAGGAACAGAGTTTTGCCTTTCACCTATCCAAGTGTTAGTGTGTTTTGTTGTGCCATTAGCAGAAGCCTTAAATCTCATTTAAAACCATAGTTAACTGCTAAAACACTACAGCAATATGTAAACAGAAGAATACACAGCAGCGATTGACTTCCCACTAAGATCTTGAGGGGAAAAACGTTCTTCTGTTCTACCTAAAAATTAAAGCAAAGTAAAGCCTACATCTAGAAAACCAAACAATTCTGGTGAATACGTCCATTCATTCATTCAACAAATATTTCTGAGCACCTGGCACTTAATATGTACCTAGCAATGTCCCAGTTTCCAGAGTCTATATTCCATTAGGGAAGACAATAGAAAAGCAAATTCAAGATTTAAAAAGAAAAGTAAACAAAAAGTGTCATTAATTATTCCTATTAAATATTGTGGAAAAGAATATCTGAGGGAGTGGTCAAGAAAAAAGTCTCTGAGGTACGATCTGCAGTCCAGCCTGAAGGGGACAGTGAGCCATCCATCTCAAGAGCTGGACAACTCCAGGCAGAGAGGACAGCAAGCACTGGAGAGGGCTCGGCGTGTCTGGGAAAGTGAGAGGACCAGTGTGGCTGGAGCACAGCAGTAGAGAAAGCAACGCAACTGCAAAGACCACCAGGGTCTTAAGGGATACACAGGAAATATTTCCAAATATAAAATCTCCACCCCCTAGCCTCATACAAGACGCAGGCATGCGTGCACATCCCACTTGCCCCACCCCCCGCCTCCATGCTTAACTTTCTTTAGGATCTACGAATGTGTGTGTATATGTGTTAGGGGGAAGGGGACACACTTTGATTCTCTAGTTGCCAGGCTGTTTCAGAATAGCTTTAGTTTACACAATTAAAGTCACCGAAGATAAAAGTCACTGAAAATACTGTTTAACCATATGATCACTACTAAAGGAGTAAGGGCAGGACAAATCCAATTTGATTATCATATGCATATCACCCAGTGTTCAAGTGAAACATGAAAAAGGAACGCTGTCTGACGAAAAAGAGGATCAACCATGATTATCGTTATTACATATAATTATCACCATCTGAACCCCTGCTATGGAACCCTGTTCTAAAATAGAAAAGGAAGGTCAGGTGCCTTAGGCTCATGCCTGTAATCCCAGCACTTAGGGATGGAAGCCAAGGTAGGAGAATAACTTGAGGTCAAGAGTTTGAGACCAGCCTGGGCAACATAGCAAGACCCTGTCTCTATTTAAAAAAATTTTTTTAATGAAAAAGAAAACTAGATCTACTTCTTTCTCCCAAATCATGACATCTTACGAAGTGCAAGTCAATAATGGTTTAAATTCCATTTAAAACTATTTACAATACCCATTTCAGGTTGTTTCAGATTGTGTAGGAGGAGAATGAAATAAACAGCAATAAATGAGAGTTCCATGGCAGTTCCTAACCCTAGTGCATGTGTCAAAGAGTTTAATGTTGTAAAATGCTTGAAATTTTTTTCAGTGTGAAATCATTTTTCAGATGGAATAGATAAAAGTCAGAATTTCAGGCATCTGGCAATTCTTTCTCTTTGCCTAATAAAGTATTACCAGTTGTTTTAGTGAAGCATATTCTTCGTTAGGTAATAAAGAAACAGTGCTTTCTTCATCCTCATTTTGCCAAAAATAAATTCATATTCAATAATAGATGTCTGTGGCTTTTTTGAATTATTTTGTACTGGGTTCTGCCCCTCCTCCGACAAAAATAACAACAGACCTAGCATAGGAAACTCAGCATAATCAGCTGGCTTAACCACACTTAATAACCCTGCTGGTTTAGGGTGGGGGATAGGAAGGAAGAAGAGAGCGGTACTGAACCATAGTGCTGTGCTCAAATGTGCTGTCAGAGGAACAAAACAGTATCCACAATAGTGGACATCTAAACAAAAAACATTCAAAGTACCTTAAAAATCAATTTACCTTACAGTATCTTAAAGCTTCCATTAGTGTTAAAAATCCTACTGCTGCTTGTTCATGTATACCAAGAAGTTCTGCAAAAAACAACAACAACAACAAAAAACGAAAACTTAGCATTGTAGTAGTGTGTATAAATTTGAAACGTACTTATATGTATATATATTTATACTACACCAAAACTTTTAACTTTTACCCAAAACTATACTTTAAAACTTAGCATGTAATCATTACAGTACTGCTCATTATAAAATACCATTAGATCAGGTTTGTGGTGGGTAAATGTGATGCTTTAGATGTATATTAAATGTATTTATAAAACTTGATATTCAATGTTAACTTTTTAAATGAGAGAATTTACTCCCTGAAATCCATGCCATTGTTGACAAAAATACAAGAAGAAAAAGAGACTCAATACCTATGTAAAAGGGCTAACTTGAATTGACTTTGATTTTGAAAAACAAATGGATATGCTAATCACTGGTAAAATTTATCATTAGGTAGCAGTGACTCCACTTGCCTAATACTTAAAACATGGACATTTAATGCCATCCCTCTTTCCTATAAACACAGGCTGTGTGCTTCAGACTGGGGAAATAAAGAAGAATAGAAAATGATCTCTGCCTTAGAAAGGCTATGACTTTACCAAAGACGACAGATGAAAAAAACATATGTGGTCTCTCTGTACACACACACACACGGAGTGGTATGAGAGTATCTGCCTACAGTGTTAGGGAAGGCTTATAAAAGTGATAACAGGGAGTTGAATCTTGAAGCGTATTACAGTTCTCCAGGCCAAAAAGAGGATGACAAGAAAATTCAAAGCAGAAGAAACAACAAACAGGTATGAAAAATCGATGCATTTAAGGAATGAAGAATTTGGCAAAGTTTCCTTAAATGTTTCTGGTCTGGGGGGACATGATAAATAGTGATTAACACAAAGAATTAAGAAGTAAGTTCTGGACTCGTGTGAAGAGGTAACATGAGTTTGGTTTTAGCTAAGCTGGGATTGAGGTACCTTTACGTGCTCTAGCTAGAGAGGGATAAATAGCCGGAAGTAAGGCTCAGGAATACAGGAGAGAAACGTCAGGGTTGGAGATAAAGATTTGGGAATCATCAGCATAGAGATGAGAGTTAAAGTTATGGAAGTGGGTAAGTCAGAACAGACACAACGCAGGGAATAAAAATGTGATAATAATAAAGTCTTTTCATAAACGATACCCTTCAGCTAACATACATTAATATAATAATATATTTGGGTCCATAATATATCTAAAAAGCATTTCTTTCTGGGTAAAAATTATGTTCACTGTAAACATAATGCATATATAATTTTGCATCCTTTTTACCATCTGGTCATGTTTTGTCCATTTTTCCATTAGGATATATTTTCTTATCAATGAATGTAGTAAGAATATTAACTCTGTTATTTTTGTGGCCAACATTTTACTGTGTAGCCTTAACTACAACATCTAGATGGTGTAAGGCAAGAGCTGACAGTTTAACTTTCTGGATTGGTAAATCCAAAATTAATAGAAGGTGCATATACATACAGTTTATACTTTGTCACTAGCTTCTTACAGGCACAGATCAGGTAGAGCAATGGTTCTTCAATTGTGGTTTAGGATTCCTCAGGGACCACAAGACCCTCTTAGAGACTACGTGAGATCAACATGATTTTCATAATATGATGTTAATTACCTTTTTACACTTACTCTCTCATAAGCACAGAGTTTTACAGAGGTTGATCTGTTATATTGTATCAGACTAAATTTATAAGCATATATGAAGATCCGGCTGTCTACTAATAAGCCAAGCATTAAAGGGATTTGCAAAAATTTAAAACAACGTCACTCTCCTTAATTTTTGTTAAGTTTATTAAAAATGTTATTTATGTTAATATTAATGAGTATATTTTGTTTTTTTCTAAATTATGTTTTATTTCTACAAATTTAGGAGGTAAAAGTGAAATTTCTTTAAACACATATACTACATAATGATCAAGCCAGGGTATGAAGAGTATCCACTGCTCAAGTACAATGCAATTTTCTTAAGCATAGTGATCTTACTCTGCTATCAAATATTGAATTTACTCCATGTTACAGTATGTTTGTACTCTAACCCACTCCCCTCATGCTTCTCCCACCGCCTGCCACTGACCCTTCCCAGTCTCTGTTATCTATCATTCCACTCTCTACCTCCATGTGATCAAATTTGTTTAGATCCCACATATAAGTAAGAGCGTGTGATTTTGTCTTTTTCTTCCTGGCTTATTTCACTTAAGATTATGACCTCCAGTTCCATTCACGTATACTGCAAATAACAGGATTTCATTCTTTGTTATTGTTTATAGAATTCCAGTTTCTTTATCCATTGACCTGTTGATGGACACTTAGGTTGATTCCCTAGCTTTGCTACTGTGAATGGTGCTGCAATTAGCATGCACGTGCAGGTATCCCTTTGATATACTGATTTCTTTGTCTTTGGGTAGATACTGAGTAGTGGGATTGCTGGATCTGGTAATCCTATTTTTAGTTTTTTGAGAAATCTCCATACTGTTTTCCATAGTGGCTGTACAAGTTTATATTCCCACCAACAGCATATAGGAGTTCTCTTTTCTCTATCTTCGCCACACTTTTGTTGTTTTTTAACAGCCATTCTGACTGGGGTAAGATGACATCTCATTGTGGTTTTGATTTGTAGTTCTCTCATGATCAGTGATGTTGAACATTTTTTCATATACCTGTTATTTTAAAGTGAATTAATACGTATTTAAAAATTTCTCAATCTTTAACATGAAAAACATTGATTATTTGCTTTGGGATCATCCGTAAGAGTGTAAAGGGCATGAGATTAAAAGGTTTTAGAATCTTCAGGTTAAAGCAAAACAAGGGAGAGGAGAAGAACAGCCCAAATAGGTATAAATGGATACTTCATATCTTCGCAAACTTTTCTCTCCCTTTCCTTCTTAAATGTAAGCAACACTAAATGTTTTCATGTAAAAAAGAATACATACATTGGGAAACAGTTTCACAATTTAATTTCTAAAATCAGTTACCACCACCTAGTGTTACAATTAGATACTACATCATCTATTTCCCTGGACTTTTAAACAAATGTCTAATAATAATATCATGTTACTAAATACAGCAAACTAGTTGTTCATAATTCTTGGGTAATGAACTATTTAGATTTGATCAGTAAACACATGCTTAGACATCTAGTCTGGATGGTAATTATTTTAAAAATGTATTATGCCTGTTTTCTTAAACAGAATATATACTTAACATTTTTACCTTCTTATGATAGTTTCAAGAGCATCACACTAGGAAAATTTACTTTTATGCCAAGTTGTAATACAGTGAGGATTTAATATTCTCACATGTTACGATTTATAGAATTTATTTGTAGGAGACTTTCTCAATAAGCCTTGAAAGTGTCTATTTTCAAGTATTCCTAATCTGAAAATCTGAAATCCGAAATGTTCCAAGATCTGAAGCATTCTGAGAGCCAACATGACTCTCAAAGGAAATGTTCATTACAGCATTTTGGATTTCAGATTTTCAGATTAGGGATGCTAAACTGGTGAGGAAAAATGCAAATATTTCCAAATCTGAAAAAAATCGAAATCTTAAATGCTTCTGGTCCCAAGCATGTACTCTACATTTGCAAAAAAATTCAAATTACTTTGTGATTATATTCTTGTTTTCTTTGCCAGAATTAATTTACTATCTTTTATTATCAGAGACGGTGTCTTGCCTTCTTGCCCAGGTTGGTTTCAAACTCCTGGCCTTAAGTGATCCTCCCGCTTTGGCCTCCCAAACTGCTGAGATTAAAAGGCACAAGCCAATACACCCAGCCTAACTGATTATCTTATATAAAAGAGAATGAAACAAACCATCAAAACTCATTCAGTTTCTGACTGCATTTTTAGGAGTTCCACATATTAAGTGGAATATAACCAGACAAGCACCAGAGAAACATGACTATTTTTTGGCCTAACTATAATATCCGTTTCTGTTTATTTTATAATTGACAAATTAAAGTTGTATATATTTACCGTGTACAACATGTTTTGAAATATGTATACACTGTAGAATGGCTAAACTGAGCTAATTAACATATGCATTATTCTGTGTATGAGTCCATCATCTTTCAATTAGCTATGCATTTGACTGGCTGTAATACTGATTTCTTTTTATAAAAACAAAACAAAAACCCACAAAAAACCAAGAAACTTCTGGGTTTCTGAATTACAAGAGTTGACTCTTCTATCCCTATCCCATAAAGAAAATTATAAAATAAAAATAATCATCAAATAAGCATACAAAAATAAATAAACAATATGGACAAAAATAATGTACAAATACTGAAGAATTCCTTTAAGATAAAAAAGAGACCATGACAAAATTAATCTACAGAAAATCAAAATCAAAGAAAACTTTAGCTCAACATACATGGAATAGTACGAAATGAAGATGGATGGCAGGTAGAGAGGAGAAAGACCACAAAAGGATCTGAGAACCTTAGAAGGAGTTTGGATTTTATTTTAAGTGCGTAGGGAAGCCAGCCATCGAATGGTTTTAAGGGAGAGAGAAACATGATCTCACTGAGTTTGAAAAATATCACACTAGCCCCTGTGAAAGAGTGGGCAAGAATGCATTTAATTTGATTAGTTCTACTGCAGCTTATTTCTGTTCTATTGGAGAAGCAAAAGATGGTTTCAAAAACTGGGGTAGAATCAAGTATATGGATTCAGGACCATATAATCTATATAAAACACTGAATATTTTTCACTAAAGAATGTACAAAACAATCTAGTTGGGAAGATAATATGTAAAGATATAATTTCCTCAAAATAACCTACAAATATAATGTAACCAATCCAAATCTTCAAAGATTTCTTAAAACTGGAACTTGAAGAGCTGGGAGGAAAGTTCAACTGGAATAGATAATGTAGAAAAGACTATGACAATTTTGTAAAAGTATAACATCAGGAAACATGCTAATGAATATCAAAGTATATTATAAAACTATGTAATTGTGAAGTTTTGCATAAGAAGTCACAAAAAGATCAGTGGAATAGAATAAAAACATGTAAATATGGAAAAATGTGTTCAACAAAAAACGTATTTCCTATCTGTGGAGAACTGACTGGAATTAGGACATTAGATAATTCTTTGAGAAAAAGTCAAAAGGCAGATCCCAAACTCATACCATTCATAAATACAAAATCCAGATAGACTAAAGAGCCAAACATTAAAAAACAAAAAGCCCACAAAAGCATTTTTGGAAAATACTAGAGAATATTATCTTGGGGTGGAGCCGGGCATGATGGTGCACGTCTGTAGTCTCAGCTACTTGAGAGACTGAGGCAAGAGGACCACTGGAGCCCATTTAGAGGCTGCAGTGAGCTATGACTGCACTACTGCACTATGGCCTGGGTGACAGAGCGAGACCCCGTCTCTAAAAAATGAAAATAAAAAATCTGGGGGTGGGAGACACATAAAATTGATATAACAGGAGTAAAAAAAAAAAAAAAAAAAAAAGCCCAAATAGAAGCCATCTAAAAAAAAGACCAAATGATTTAACCTCATAAATATGAAAGCCAGCCAGGCGCGGTAGCTCACGCCTGTAATCTCAGCACTTTGGAAGGCCGAGGTTGACGGATCACCTGAGGTTGGGAGTTCGAGACCAGCCTGGCTAACATGGTAAAATCCCGTCTCTACTAAAGATACAAAATTAGCTGGGCATGGTGGCATATACCTATAATCCCAGCTACTCGGGAGGCTGAGGCAGGAGAATTGCTTGAACCCGGGTTAGGCAGAGGTTGCAGTGAGCCAGGATCGTGCCACTGCACTCCAGCCTGGGTGACAGAGTGAGACTCCGTCTCAATAAATAAATAAATAAATAAATAAATAAATAAAAGCCTTGGATATAAAAAAATATATCATTAACAAAGTTAACAAGAAAGAGAAGGCTGGGTGACAATATTTGCAACACAGGTCAAACAGAGGAAGAACTAAGAGAATTTATAAAGAGCTCCTAGAAACTGAACAAAAGAAAATAACTCCTCCTCCCCAAAAGCCAAAAAGATGGGAAGAGGTAATTCACAGAAGAAGAATACTCAAAACTCACAAACACGTGAAGAGATGATCAAGCTCAGGCTCAATGAGCACCAGAGAAATGTGAATTAAAACAGCCTATCACTTGTCAACAAACTGACAAAATGTTAAAGATGGACAATTCTAAGTGTCAGGCAGGATGCAGAAAAATACGAACTCTCCTACACACTTCAAAGAATAAGTTTATACTTTTACCAGTTGATAAAGCAAATTTTAGAAGGACATTTGGCATTATCTATCAAAATTTAACAGATGTTCCTCAAGAAGTTAAACCTTATGAGTTACCGTATGACCCAGGATTTCAACTCCTTGGTCTATGGCAAAGAAACACTAAAATATACATCTCATAAAAACTTGTACATGAATGTACCTCACAGCATTACTCATAATGGCCAAGTGGAAACACTCCACATGTTGGCGAACAAATGAATGTGGTATATTTGTGCAATGGTATGTTATTCATCAATAAAGAGGAGTGAAGTACTGGTACATGCTAAAACATGGTCACCTTGAAAATATTATACTAAGTGAAATCAATCAGTCACCAAAGACCGGATAGCGTATGAGTCTATTTCTATGAAACATCTCAAACAGGTAAATCTATAGAGAGAAAGTAGATGAGCGGATGCTAGGGCTGGCGTGGAAGGAAGTATAAGGAGGACAGGCTTTCTTTTTAAGATGACAAAATTTTTTAAAATTGATTGTGGTGATGGCTAAACAACTCTGAGAAAATATTTAAAATACTGAATTGTCCATTTTAAATGGGTGACATGCATACGTGAGTATCTCAATAAAGCTATAAGTAAAAAAAAAAAAAATTAACAGATGCCTAAAATTTTAATACACTTTCTACTTTTAGAAATCTAACCTGTAGGTATACTTATATAAGGAAAGACGTATATACAAAACATGTTTACTACAGCAGTTTCTTATAGCTAAAAATGGAAACAATCTAACTGTTTACCATAAGGAAACTCAAGGCAAAAAACAGACTAGGAAAAAAATACGTTTACTAACATGAGACATACATTCATTCAGCATTTACTGGACTTGTTTCCTGCTCTGACAACATAGTAGGAGGCAGGCAATATAGAAAGAAAAATTACAATTAAATAGTTACTCGTTGAAAATCCTTAGGTAAGCTGCTTTACCTCTCTAGGCTTCAGTTTCCTTCTTCATAACATATGGAGTAATACTTGCCTTGAAGGGTTGTTGTAAAGATTAAGATCCTATTTCCAAAATGCCTACACTGGCCCACAGAAAAAATTCAGTTTCCCTCAAAAGCCTAGGCACCTCGTTTACAGAAGCAAGAACATGTACACAAAGAACTATGATGCGAGGTGTAATAGAATGAAGCCGACTGAGGTAAAGCACCATAGATGATCAGAGGGAGGAGAAAACTTTTCCTGCTGTCGGGGTTAAGTGGAGAGACATTAAATGGGAGTTAACATTTTAATGGGGCCAGATGGAATGAGCAGGATGACATTTTGGGGAAAGTACCATTGTTTTTAACGACCGGGAGGCAGAGCCGTCTGAATAGAACAGTGGTTCTTAACCCTGACTACACAATATCACTTGCTTAAAAATATATGAATGCCCAGATTCCAGCTGACAACAATTCCATTACAATCTCTAGGTGGTGTGGCCTTGGCATATGATTTTAAATTTCTCCTAGTTAATCGTGATGTGCAGCCAAGTTTGAGAACCAGTGGATTAAAGCACTGGATTTGTGAAGGAGACTAGTAAAAGATTATAAACATAGGGTTGAGTACGAACACAGAGGCTCTTGAATGCTAAGAAGCTGAAACTTTAGTTGGCAAGCATTAGCAAGAGAGTCATTGAAGGCACTGAGCAGAGAAATAACCTAACAGGACGTGTAAAATAAAATCATTAACTTGTCAGTTTGCAGAATATACTGGAGTGGAATGACAGACAGAAAGCTATAGCATGATAGTCTAGACAGGTGAGAGTAATGAGACCACAACAGACTTGGCAAAGGAAGAAAAAAGGGAGCAGCTAGCATTTCTGTGCTTGCGCTAGGCAGCATATATGAATATGTGTATTTTTAACCTCAATGCACAGGTAAGAAAACCGAGGCTCAGATAATTTAGCAGTTTGCCCACCGTCAAACAGCAGAGGCATAAACTAACTGGTGCCATCGCCACACCCGAGGCCTCTGCTTGTTCCACCATGGCACAGTGTCCTGCGGTACCACTTGGCCTCTGTGAGACAAATTTCGAGAATGGAGAATCTCGAAGACTCAGCAACTCATTAGATACATGACAGTAAGGTACAAATAACTAGCAGGTTTTCAAATAAAGCTTGTTGAATAAAGTAACATCAGAAAACATTATGGCAAGCTGCATAACCAATGTCTGCCCTCAAGTGTTTCAATTTTCTATAAAGGGCAGTTACAACTACTGATGATTTTAAATTTCTCCCAGTTAATTGTGATGTGCAGACAAGTTTGAGAACCAGTTGTTGATAAGAGTGCTCATTATGCAGCAGTGGCAAACATGTATTGAACAGTGCTCAAGGACTTGATGAATATCTCTTTTTTGCCATTTTCTCACCTCATTCTAACTATCCTGTGATAATCATTCCCGTTGGAGGATGAGAAAGAGGCACTGAGTGAAGCATCTTGTTTAATTCCACACAGTTTAATAAATGGCGCAACTGAGATTCCAACCACAGTAGTCTAATTCCACACAGCTAACATACTTAATGATACACTGCCTCTTACACTACATGTTAGTCTTGAGTGCTGTAATACATATGTGAGATGGCATGGGAGTTCATCTTCTTTAAATTCCACAGTACACCTGAGAGGCAGATATCTGCCCCATTCATAGAGAAGAAGCTGAGATTGAGATTTTAATCCAAAGATTTCTGTCCGTGGTACAGAGTTAGTAAATGAGCCATGCAGTGTGCCACCTTCAGGGAGAATGAGGGGTAGGAAAAAGGCTACGATTTTCGCAGGTAGTGAGGTCTTTGCTTTAGAAGAACAAATGACACAGATTTCAGATCATAGAGAGTAAATATTTTAGCGATGCGGGCAAGGAAATTCTGCTGGTGAAAGGATGGAGAGAAAGAGGTTTGTGGCCTGGTCGTTACACATCACGATTTTTGTTTTAGGCAGTAGAAGCCACCTAAATTTTGTGTAGACCAGGGAAGAGAATCACATTTAATAGCAGAGACCGTAAATGGAATCAACAGTAACTCTGGAAAGATATATAGTTCTTCTAAAACAGGAAAAAAGAATATGCTGAAAAAAGACAACTTGAGATTCTAAAGTCAGCTGAGAGTGAGTGGGCAGAGGTAAAGTTAGAGACAGATAAAGAGGAGAAGGGATTTGAATTCACTGCCTCAAGCAGTGGTAGATAAAGGAGTTATGAGGAGTAGAAAAAAGGGTTACAATGTGCAGTCAGCAGTAAGAGTTTAAATGAGTTTAAGTAGGATTAATTTAGAGTACGCCCAACCAATGAAACTTGTAATGAGGTTTCTTTTCTAGCAATAATCAGCCTGGCAGTGGGAGGGAAAATGTGTACTATGTGTTATCCAGGAAAAACCAAGAAGGTTCAGTGAAATATAAATGGGGTATTTTTCTCATTTTTAAGTTTGATGACTGAACATTCGCTTCAAACAAACATTCCAAAATGCAAGAAATATACCCAATTTTCTTTTCCAAGTTAGCTATTTCAAAGTTATTGCTTAGTTTTGGCTTTTAAACTATACAGAAAAAAGGTCCACAGCAAGATGACAGCCTTGAAAAGCACTATTTCAAGGAACAAAAACGACATATGTGTACATCTCAAGAACCGAAACTGATAATTGACTAATATATTCTGTACAGGAAGTAACGACTTCACGTCAAGAGCTGCCTAAGGAGCCTCCTTTTCTTTTTTTTTTTTTTTTTTTTGAGATGGAGTCTCGCTCTATTGCTCAGGCTGGAGTGCCGTGGCATGATCTCAGCTCACTGCAACCTCCGCCTCCCGGGTTCAAGCAATTCTCCTGCCTCAGCTTCCTGAGTAGCTGGGACTACAGGCATGCATCACCACATCTGGTTAATTTTTGTATTTCTAGTAGAGACGGGGTTTCACTGTGTTGGCCAGGCTGGTCTCGAACTCCTCACCTCAGGTGATCCATCCACCTCGGCCTCCCAAAGTGCTGGGACTACAGGCATGAGCCACCGTGCCCGGACATGGAGCCTCCTATTCTTGAAACCTCATTCTGACTGTTAGTCCTGCCAATGAAAGTTATCTCATCTCAGTCTACGAGAGGTTGGGTGAGGAAGAGCCTAGGGAGGCAGAAGAGTATTCTGGTTTGGGGACTAGGGTAAGCTATCGAGAATCCGGAGAACGCGTAGAAAGATGAACCACACTGATGAGTACCAAGTGTGAGAGAGAGTGATGCGCTAAAGACAGTGTGGGAAGGGTCAGGCCAGAGCACACAGTAAGAAGTATCAAGGACAGAGGGCCAAGTGGGATGAGGCACCTCAACCCAAGTTCAGCAAGAACCTATTGCTTCCCTAATCATATGAGATAAGATACCTGGGGGTCCAGAAACAACTGGAAGAAGAAGAAAGACGGGAGTGTACAGAAGCCATCACAGGTGACAGAGAAACAGAGAGACCAAAAAACCCTGTATATTACCCAAGAGACACTGAAATGAGATTTTTTTTTTCATTGACAGGATTAAATGCTTTCAGCTATGAATCAGATTAAGGGTTGAAGAATAGGATGATCTCAATTAAAGAGAGCTGAGCAAGATAATTTGTAGTTTTTTGTTCACGAATTTCACTGTTTAAACTCTGACCTTTACTAGAAATCACCAAAACTTGGCTCTCATTCTAACCTCACCACTAAGTAAATAATTTTGCATATGAATTAAATAAGAAGTGAACTTAGTTCTTAAATTTTTTAAACAGTAAAACGGGTTGTACTGTGGTGCTTTTTAATTCTGAAGTTTTAATTTTACTGATTTTTTCCTTAATATTATGCCCTTTCATGTTTCTGTTAATTAACTACACATTTCTGAATTTGAGAAAAATTCAAATGGAAGATCATGAATCACTTCAATGGGAGCAAAAAGTGGTAACTATTATTTTCTCAATTATATTTGCTCTGTTTGACTGTGAGCTCTGGGAACCCTGGAGCTTCGTGTCCTATGCTACGTACTTCAGAGAGGCACACTGTGGTTACTTAATGTAAGTTAAATGAATAAATAAATGAATTCAGACTGACCCAGTAATAAAGTGAAGGGAATTTTATTCAGTTATGTATCAGCTCTCCTTAACGGAATGGATTGGCCAAAATGGGATCCATTTCAATGTGCCTGACAACATACGAAGCCACAGGAAAGAAATAATTGAGACCAGAAATGGAAGTGGTAGTGGAAGAGTTGGTAATTTAAAAGTCTCAGTATTAAATTTGCTCGGTGTTTTAAAGTACGCACATTAAAAGTAATATAGGCAAAAACCCAAAGTAAGTATTTCACACCACCAGGCTTTGTAATGCTCCATTTTAAGCAAAGAGTGCAGTAATATCTCTGAATAAATATGCACTGTGTTTATACATATTAAGAGTCATAAATCCCAGTTTTATACCACAGAAAATGAAAGGCCTGAGAAGTAACTTCACTAAAGTCATACATTTGGGATTTGAACCCAAGATTGCCTGGCTCCAAGATTAATGGTCTTAACATTATGGTGCCTTGAAAACTGTAAAGGATTCTTCTATTAGAAAACACTTAACCTCTAGGTAATGTAGAGCCATTAAATAGACGAATAATAATCAGCTGTATTCCAATGAAATATTATTCATCAAAGAGAGCAACATAACAAGGAATATACTTACTCATTCCTGAGCACTCTCTATCACCATCCCATACATTAGAAACAGCATGTCCCGTCAGCAGGAGATTAATTAAACTTTGGCTATTAATAAATATTAAAAAGCAATTAAATATGAATATAGTTGCCAAATCAAATAATTCCTACAGCAAAGTATAAAGTAATGACTTTTCACATTAAATTATGTAAGAATTTACAAAGTTAGGGAAAACCTTACATTTTCAATTTTATATATTCGGCCTTGCTAAATGTATCACCAAATATATCAGCACAGTGGTATTTATTGTTCTACATATTCACATACATTTAACAACTTTATCTAAGATATATTTAAATGGATAAAAAATGACAGACTAATAAGTTACTTAATATTTACAATCTTTAAAAATGAATATATAATTATTAATATTTTGTCTTTGATGAAAGATACATGAACTTTCATCTTTCAGGCAGAAAGGTCTAAAAAGAAGGACTCACGTATTAGAGTAGGTTAACTATCACTGTTTCATTGAGTTTTGGTAAAAATAGCCATAAAAAGCTTGAGGAGGGTGGTCCGAGAGGAAAATGGGGAATGTTTTTCTCCCAAGCAGAGAAGCACTTACAAAGATATACTTATTTCTAAGTCAAAATGAATAAATTTTCTCATTTAAAAAAATTACAAATGGATTTGTTAAAATACCTCCCCACTGTTATCTTAAAACAAAATATTTGCCCCAATAAATGCATACATAAAATGAAATTAACATTTCATACATCAAGCAAACAATGCATAATACAAAGAAGTGCTCAAATCCATACATGTTGTACTGTCAACACTACTGACAAACAAAATTACTTGACTCAGTCATGTTTTATCTGAAGTCAAGTTTCTAAAAACTGGAGTTCACATGAGGAGACAAGAGATTTTAGTTAATTACCTGCCATGTCCATATACAGGATCTATCAAGGGTTCACTTGCATCTTCAATTTCGTTTTTTATGTTTTCAATGCCCTAAAGAAACAGAATTCATTGACTTATTTTAAAAAACTAAAATGAAAATTATGACTGTTTAAAAACTGACTAGTTTACACTATAAACTAATACAATTATTTAAGTAACTTTTCTACCACAAGTAACTCAGATTTGAAATGGGGGTGCATTTGAGATAACTTTAAAAAATAGTTCCTCAAATATCTTTTATTTTCTTTCATGGGCTCTATATAAACAACACTCATGGGTGAAATATGTACCGTTGGTTAAAAGGGCAAGGAGAGAGAATTAACTTTTAATAGGAGAAAGGAGAAATTATTTAATAGTTAAATGAATTATTTAAAAGTTAAATGAATATGAGCCTGTTAAGGCAACTGATTTTTTTAGATCATGTAAAAACTTATTGCAGTAAATACATACACACATGAATATCGATAGAGATATAACATTAAATAATTTGCGTTTTAATTATTTAACTGGTACATAAAATGGAAGGTTTACTTCTGATTGTACTTTCTCACAAATGTTGGTCATTCAAATGTATACTGACAAAATGCAAATTAGGAGGGCAGGAAGTGCCTTCTTTTCTTAAAAACCAATTTCCTGATACTTTTTAAACCTTCAGAAGGGCACTCAACTCCCAAAAGTTCTACATACTGGATAAGTACAAGAAGACCTACTTATTGTAACCTCATCAATTCCAGAAGGACAAAGATAAACTGCTATTCATTGTTCTATTCACTTAACTTTAGCCATTGTTTCTATCATATTAGAGGTCATTTCTAAGAATTAAATAGATGATTAATTAACAACCAAGATTTTTAAAGAATGACTAAATCCCGCAGGGGGAAACAAAGAAGCATGAGCTCTTGCATATGCCATCCTCCTAAACAATACAAATCAGGCTATGATAATGTCAAGATGAATACTATCAACAAGTGACACAATCACTACTGAGGAAGGGGATACCATTTTAAAGACCAGGTCAAGGAAGGACAACTTGCATGATAATTTATTGGCTGTAAAGAAGAAGAAACAGAGGAGGTATCAAACGTTTTGAGCATAAGAAAGTTGGAGAATACTGAACAGTCAAGAAGAGCTTATAAGAAACCAGTCATCTTAGATACCACCATCACAGCTACTCCGAACATCTACACAACTAAGCACTTTGGGTTCTCTTATTTATTTACATTTAATATTCCAAATAGGTATTTATTTACATTTCTAAATATACTCCTTTTGTTTTCCATTCCATGACCTGTCCTAGTTTAGGCTGCTCTTATTTCAATACCCAATTTTCTAGTTTTCCTGACTCTAGTCTTATATTACAAACACCAACTCCATCCATCACAACTCCTATCCCAATTTAAGATATCTTTTATCAACAAAAAGATCTTGTCACTCCCTTGTTCAAACTTTTTACTGTGTTCCAATTCTGAGCAGATGAAACCTACTCTTTGTACAGTGTACATAGAAAGGTCTTCATATTCTAAGTCTTTTCTTACATATGTGCCCAGTCTCATCTTCCACAGTTGCCTCTCTGGTGTCTTATGCTACAGTAAGGCTCAACTACTTAGAGCTCCCCAAACCTGCATTATACCCTCAATCCCTTACACTTTTATACTTGCAGTGCCCACTGCTGGAAAAAATGTCCTCCAGCTTTCCCATATAGAAAACTTGCCCTCATGCATCAAGGTCCTATCTCTGTCAGATGGTCCCTACTAGAAACAGTATGCCCTTGATTCCATCTAATAGGTTCAGACAGAAGACCAAACGCCAAAACACACTGCCATAATGGAATTATTAATGTGCCATTTTTTTACAATGCTAAATAGATACCATTAAAAATGCATCCCATATTATTAATACAGACATAGTCCCTAGCATAGAGTCAATCAACGCTCAAAAAACATTTGTCAAATAAAAGAAGTTTGATTTCAGACATGATAGATCTAATAGCATAGTCAACTGAGACTAACACGTTACTAGAGCTATGAGACTGGTATTTGGGGAAAAAGAGTAGGACTAGAAGGGGACATATTGGAACTATTAAATAGCTATATAAAGGTAACCTGAGCAAATGAAATATCCATAAAAGGCATACTGGATCCAGGGAAGAAAATTTCTGGACTATAAAAATTTAGAGGAGGAGAGAAAAGAGCAGGAGGTAACAGATAAAGAAGGAAACAAAGCTATCAAAGAAAACAAAACAAAATAAGAATCGTGAGACATTATAGAAAGAAAACTCACACAGTGATTTTTCAAAAAAAAAATCAAGAAATGGAATCAAGGTCAAAAACAGCTTCCAGAAGGGGTTAAGGGGTCAAGTGCTACACGGAAGGATCAAAGGAAACACAATTTGGAAGAAAGGACAGCATTTCACAACCAGAACATTATTGATAATCTCTGTAGTCCAAAAGAGCAGAGGTGAAACTGCTTAAGCAACGAGTGAGTGCTGAGGAAACAGAAATTAACTCATTTTCAACGTAAAAGATTTTTATTCTAAGAATTTAAAAACACCATCAGGAATAAAATTACTCATCACTGCAGGAAAAACAGCACTGAACAACATTAATCAAAGGCAGAAAAATCATCTTCTTGAACACACCTTTGTCAGTAATACAGAATACAGAAAAAGCAATACTCCAAATTTATTTCCCCACATTGAATACTGGTCCAAGACAGCATCTTTTAATTCTGGTAAACTTCTGAACGATCTTTTTCTGGGGGAAAAAAAGAATTAAGTATTGGTATCATGATGAGATTAACTACATTCATAAAAGGGAAAATTTTTAAATTTTCTTATACATTAAAACATATACATACAAACAGGAAAGTTTTGGGACGTTTCTAAATTTTTCATTACAAATTTAGCCACTAAAACCAAAAGCTATTTCTGACAACTATCACTATATATGATATTTATCATTAAGAAAGAACACCTACTTGGCAGGGAACCTCTTCATCTCTTAGGTGAACTGTCTGGCATCAGTAAATTCTTCAATAATATACAGTTATTTAAAGAATAGAGTGGCCTTCTTGTAAGAGGGGGTAAACACAAAGAAAACTTCACTTTTTAAATCCTAGAAATTACTTAACAAATATCTTAATGCCAAAGATAACTTACACATTTGCGGCTTCTTTTAAAAGAAATTAATGTTACATTTTAAACCAAATGCCACCCATAATTCTATCAACAGCCATCTTTACCTTTTACTTTGTAATAAAAAGTTTAAATGCTCTAACAAAAATATCGGTATTCTTAATAAAAGGTATAGAAAACAGATACTGGCAAATAAATAATTCTAATATTTATCCTACTAGAAATCTTCATATTTGTTTAGGTCACAGAAACATTAAGCTAAAATGATTTTTTTTCATTGTAATGATGAAAAAGCTTTTTAATGTTTTTGAAAAGCGTATCTGGGTAGTTAATTAAGGACTCAGCATAGTTTATACATTTACAAACTATTTTAATTTAAAGGCAAATTAATCCTGAAGCAATGGATTTAAAATTTATGTTTAAGTAGCGCATTTCTATGTAAAACTAAGAACCTTTCCACAGTATGAACAGACTTAAAGTGGCAATGTGTCCACAGAGTAAGTATTTTAAATGTTCCAATGTTACTTACTGAATTAATGCATGAAATCGCTCAAAGCCAAGCTCTTCGACAGCCAAGGCAGCTATACATAAAAGACACTTTTCAGCACTACACATGGCAAATAAATGACACAAGATACACACAGCAGGCTGTAAATACTTTCAAGCAATCAAAACTTTCCCTATTTCCTTACTCCCTTAAAATTCTCAGTTTATTTTCAACTTCATTATAACATGAATTTATATTTCAACATCTTTATTATGAATATAACTAAAATCGATATAATACTGAGAATATAGAAGGGTGATTAAATAACATTTCAGTTCAGCTATGCTACGGCAGTTATAAAGTATGAAAAATTACTGATAATCAGTGCCTCACATATCATAATGTGTCCTGCACTTTTAAATAATCTTTCAGATTATATAAATCCAAGTAATATCATCAGAGCTAACCTTCCTTTTTATAATATAAAATCTTTAGGTTTAAGGCTTAATTATTAAACAAACATGTATAAAAAGGCATAACACTTTCAAACTACACAGGTTCAATGACAGCTTTAAGTTTGTTTCCTCATTTATTTGTATAACTGTTAAAAAGTTTTCAGTAACTTATTTAGATTATGTTTATTAATCAAAGGAAATAGAAGAAAGCATTTTAATCAGAGGTAATGTTTATTGAGCACTTTACTAAGTGCCAGGCCCTTTTCTAAATGCCCTACATGTCTTACCTCATTTAATCCTCATATAAACCCTCTTAGCTCCATTTTACAGAAGAGGAACCTGAGGCACACAGAAAAATCCTCTCAAGAGTACATAGGATTAAACAGCAGAGATGAGACTTGAGCACAGATAGTCTTGGCTCCAGGGAGTTATTTATCACAATGAATAACTTCACATATATTTCATAAAGCAAATCTTACTACTATCAAATATAAATTCTCACTGGTGAGTTAAGAAAATTGATTCATTATGAAGTCAAAATTTTAGATTTTTATTTACAATTTAAAATGTCACATTATGCTAGCTTTCCAAAGCCTAGTTGTGAGTGTTTCATATTTCGTTTTAAAATCTTTAGCAGTCCAAATGTATTAAGTTATTTCTTGGTTTATGTGGGAAACAAACTGAAATTGAACCTGAGTATTCACTACTGCGAACAACTGTGCATTACCAACAAGCCAAAACTATACACACCACATAAGCCAATGAAATTAATGTTTGTAGAGAAAGTAATATTAACAAGAGGGGAAAACACTTTACATTAAAACTTTCAGAAAATGAAAATTCTACCTAATCTTTTCCAAATTATACTGCTTGTTCTGCAACATTAGATTATCTAAATAGTTTTACTGGGTATACTACAAGAGTAGACATAAAGATAATAATTTAGAGAAAAGAGGCAAGCAAAATAAAAAGCTTAGCAGGCAGGGATGGTGAAAAAATATAAAACACAAGAAAAAGAACAAAGCTGGGAATAAAGGAAAGAACAGGTAAAATAGATTGTTACACGGAATAAAAATTGTAATATAAATACAGTTCATTTGTCACTAAGGTAAATTCTCAAATTTTCAGTTAACAAAGTATTTCAAATGTATACATTATTTAAAAAATTTAAAATATGGTTTACTTCATGGCAACTTTTAAAATGAGATACAAAGTAAACTGGAAAAATTACTAAAATGTTTTCTGGAGGGTAATTCAATATAATATGCCCATCTAAATTAGTTACTGAAGTACCAAAGGGAATGCATTATAAGGCCCTTTAACCTATAGCAACGTGACGTATCACCACAGAACTGCATAGCATATTTCATAGTATGCACTCAGTATACTGTTAAGATACTAATGGAAAATGTTATATAAAAAGATCTTACTATTTTCTCACATCAATATACAGACTGGCTTTAAGCACAAAATCTTTAAAATACCTTTTCAAAAGATCAACAATTCCTCTTTCAAAATTTTAATATCCTAAATGAACCTATTAAGTGTGCTAACACCCACACAGTAAAACCTGGAGAATATGTTAAAACCAATCTTAGTGACACTTTGGACTAGCATCCTTGTGACTGTTTTCCACTTGTTGTCTTCAAATGTCATTATAAACTCTAAAATATGTTAAGTTCTTTTTGAAAGGCCATATTTCAAAGGCTTCAAAAGGAAGCATCATATAGCTGTTCAAATGTTCAAAATTATTCCTTGCAAATGTTACTACTATTAGAATTTGCCAGGCTTAAGGCATTTTAACTGCAGAGGTAGGAGAAAAAAGACACTGACAACACAGAGGCATTTTAGTCCAGGGAGGCAACAGCACCTTATAGATAATACTATATGGAAAGCAAAATGTGTATCCCATACAATTGAAGTGTACTTTCAGGTACGTAATCTCTTTACGAAAACTTTCCACAAAGATGATAGTTAATGTGATGCTCTGTGGGTAGAATAAGTCACTTATTTAACATAAGCACTTGGGACTACCAATTATAAAAAACCATCAACTAGCAAGATTATTCCTGAAAAGCAAATCAGAAAAGCAACTCTTAACTAGCTTCCGTACCACTAGCTGTCTCCATTTCACACTGGCAGCTTTCGGGTCAATTACATAACAATTTTCAAAAGTTAAAAACCACAGAATATATAATTTTTATGAATAATGAGAATAGCTATTATTTAACGTAAACAGCTATTATTTAACTTATCTTCAAGGTATGAAAAACTTAAGGCATAATTAAAATTGCCTTAAAATAATCTATATGTATAAAAATATCCAAATAATTCGGAAAGAAAAGAAACAGCTTGCAATGAGGAGAAATGTCCCCATCTTTGCTCTGGGAAGCAAGTAAAGATAACTTTATGAAATCTTCTGATGTCCAAAAAAATCCGTTTTTGCAATACCAAAGCAAAACATTAAGGCATCTGAAACTGAAGCATATCATTATTTCTAAATAAGAGTTCTAAAGCTCAAAAGAGATTATTATCAAGCAGAAGTTAACCAGAACATTTTTAAAAGTTTAAGAGATGCATTTTTTTTTGCAAAAATGTAGTATCTTCTAAGTAGTTAAAATAAATGATATGGAAATAAAAAATAGTGAGGCTCAGTAATTAAGCTTAAGCTGGAAAAGAATACATGTTATGAAAATTTTAAGTAATTTTTTCTTCAAAATATTCAATAGATTCATTAAAACAAAGGAACAAGAAAAAAACTTCAGGAAATAAAAATATATCTTACAAGAATGTTCCACTTGGCAACTAGACTCTGCAGGACTCCCAGAAATACTAGCAGTTTCCTCAGTTGTCTTTCCTCTTAACCATGAAACCAAGCAGTATGATCCAGAGTGGTCACAACAAGCACTTTCTAAAATATCACACAAGGTATGACAAAGGAGTTCCTTCTGCTCTTCCTCTAAAAATAACCAAAGCATAAGTTATAATGGTTTCCTCTGGAAAAAAAAAAATTCTGTCATGAATAACAATAGTAAGAATGGGTTAATGATGAAAATCAAGCATTTTAAAAATGGGGGAAAAATCTCTAAATAGATTTTAAATTATGTCTTAGAAAAACAATGTGTTTGTGGATTAAAATATCACCACTTTAAATAAAGCCATCCAAATAACACCACCAAGTAGAAAAAGAATACTGAAAAATGCAGAACTAAACATTATGAAAGATCATAATGTGACACTGATCATCACTTTCTTAAAACTTTAGCAACTGCAGCATTTAAGCCAAGAGGTTTCCTCTACTGAAGAACTGAGCACAATGTAAAGGCCTGTTGAAACCTCTATTTTTTTTCCCTCACATCTGAATTAATCTAACGTCTATGATCACCCCGTCCCAAAGGGATAAGAATAATGAGATGAGAGACCGTCAGCACATATGTTACCAAAGTCCATTACATCAGCAGAAGCCAGTGGTTAGAATACAGATTTGAGCATTAGAATTTTATAGAAAATGGCGCAAATGCTCAGACCATCTCTTTATGAACCTTAGCCACACTCTTTTCAAGCAGTATTACTCTCAAGAAGTAGTATTACTTTCTGAAACTTTCAAAAATTTTATGATACAAGGAGGTTTCTGTCTCTCCTAATGGATTAACAGTTCTTTAACTGCAGGAACTATGCTGTTCACTTTCTAATCACCACAGTATTTATGACACTTATGACAATGCTTTACAAATGTTTTATCAAAGTGAATATAGTGAATATAGTATAAGAAATAGTATAAATTTTATTAAAAGTTCATTTCAAAAATAGTATCTCAAATAGTTTCTTCTCTACTAAAATTTGTTTTGTATTTCACCTATTAATTTAAAACTTATGGAAGTGATCCCTTAACTCTTAAATTCAAAATCATTAGTAGATTCTATAGTCATGGTTTGGAATGTAAGCTGTTACATCCTTAGATACAAAACTGGGATTGTAATGTGTCCTAACTTCTTCCAGAATTTACTGTGAGGTTCACAGGAAATTGTGTAAGTGAAGGAAAGATCTTTGTAAACTGTCACGTGGAATGCAAATTCTTGTTATTATAAGGTGGCACCACACATCTCTCTGGGTACAGAAGCTCATGTTACAGAAGCTATGACAGCTTCATTTGCAATTTCATCCAAAATTATTTGCAGTATTTGCATTGTGTAAGGCATTATACTAAAACATGCAGGAATATAATGATAATTCTGAGGTCTTGCCCACAGCTAAATAAGACTACAAAAAAAAAAAAAAAAAAAAGACTGTTCTTTATGGCATGCTGCCACCTAACAGTTCTAGGAAATGCACCGTGTTTTACCAAGAGGCCAAACGTTTTTCCCTTAGTTATACCATCATGTCTTATAACCCCTGGTTAGAAAGCCAAATTTGGAAATATGGAGTCACTGTTCATGAAACTTTCTAAAACATTTTAAAAGGAAACCTCAGGAAAAAAAATTCCCACTGATACTTGACTTTCTCAGATAATTTTAGATCATCTCTATTAAAACAGAGGAGGAAGCAAAAGTTTTAAAAGACAGCTATCATACCTGAACAATCCCGCCAAGAAGACTTCTCCGAAGAAAACAGGAGCTTCTTCAAAAGAAATGCCTTTACACAATTAAAGCAATAATTAGTGAAATGCATTATAACCATACATCATATCATTCTTCAATTTTAAAGTGGGAAAAAATAATGTGTACTCCCTTTCTAATCTTTTGACTAGTTCTGTAAAGATGTCAAATGGGTTCCCCTCACATTTGACAGGAACTGTGCAGTTATTTATTCAGAGTATACTGCTATAAACTTGATTCTAGATTCATAAAATTCTTCTTCTTCCACAATACATATTTTCTGACAAGTAGAAGAACTAACTCACATAACAGAATAACTGAAAAGCACACAAACTTACTGCTCTATTCACAAAGTGAAAGCCCTGTAGAACACGAACAAGTCTACATTTCATTTAGATTCCTTCAGGTAAAAGAAATCTAAATATAAAAGTGGTTCTGTTCCCTTAGTCTTCATCTGTGACACAAGATTAACACTATTAGAGTCATCACTTTATTATCAGGAGCTCAAGTTTAACTCAAAAAGGTACAAGATTCAGAAGAAAAGACAAATGGATTTCTAAACTTCCCCTTAAGCGAGTCAACGATGTTACATTGGTTATTTGATAAAAAGCTGCACAGTGAAGTGTCTACTTCTCAAAGTGTAGTTCAACGGTAGCTATATCCCAGTCACCTGACTTGTTTAAATTGCAGTTTCTTGGGCTCCACCTATTCTCTCTGAATCTCTAGAGGGCAGGTCCAAGAAAAAACAGGTTACAATGACGACTTTTCCTCACCTGTGTTTGAAAGTATTAGTGTACAGATTAGGAAGACTGCTTTTTATCAGGCAAACTTAGGTTTGAATCCTGGCTCCACTATTACTAACTAAAAATAACTGTACAAACTTTAAAAGTTTGCAGCGAAGATTATATGAGAAAATCTATGTAATGCACTTAGCACAGTACCTGGCACCAATAAACAATTCAAGGTGTTACAACAAAAAACTAAGTCATATTCCATTTACATAGGCATAAAGTCTACAAATATGCTAATCAAGCGCTTCTGATTTTTCCGCAAAAGGGCAACAACCATCAAGTAGAAAAGTATAACTACATCACAACATTTGAGAAGTGAGATGGGGATATTCATTATTTCACAGCCAATATAACTACTGTTAGCATTTTGACATGCTTCCTTCCCATCTTTTTTAATATCTAGTTTTAATTTTATTACAAGTGAAAAATCATAATGGGTATATGAATGTATTTTCTGTTTTTCTACAGAATTCGTAAGCATAATTCTTAATCACTACTTGTCTATCAAGCTATTTATCAAAGTTTACTTATTATTTAAATTACATTATTGTGCATTAGGTTGCTTGCAATTTTTTTGCTACTTTAACATATAAGCTCCTTTTTAAATACAACTTTTTCCATATTAAATATTTCTTTAGAAAAGATTCACAGAAACACAACTATTACATCAGAATCTGCACTGTCATGGTTCCAATTATAATTTAAAATTCCTACCCACAAATTTGTACTATATAGCAGTATATGAGTGTGCCAGCATCTTCCCACCCTTACATGCACTGGCAATTGTAATTTTATTTTTAAAGATGACAAAAAGTAAGAAATAGAACCTAGTTACAGTTTTATTTTTACTTTCCTGGCTTCCTAGTGAGGGTGAGCATCCTGATTATTTGGCTGTAAAGCATCATTCCACCTGTTATGACTGCACATCTATGCCCATTTCACCCCTGAATCTTAGTGTTTTTCTAATTAACTTCTCCAAGTTATTTATATAAGAAAGACAATATCCCTTTATTGCTAATATTTACTGCAAATATTTCTTAGTTTGGAAGTCTCTGTTTCTCTTAGAGTGTTGATGATACATTAAGTTTCTTATTGTTAAATATTATTCCAAGGATACATTTGATATATGGTACAAAATTATCTAAACTTATCTTCCCTTCAAAGTGCTAACAAGTCATATTGATGGGATTTATGGAAGTTTATTTTATTTCACCACTGATCTTAGTTCCTTCTTTATTCCTGGTGTGACAAATTCCTGGTAAATTGTGACAGGTAATGAGGTCTATGATTGTATTATGTATTTGGTTCCATTATTTTGCCTATTCTTCTTACACAGTATCATGATCTAATTTTTATACTCTAAAAAAGTTTTAATATATGTACTTGCTCACTTCTGGTCTCCTTAATAACTTAGTTTTGACTCTTACACTGAAATATTAATACAAACAAAATTCTTTACAAAGTTTACGTGACTCTTTTTTTTCCTTTTTAGAAACAGGGTCTCCCTCTATTGCCCAGGTTGGAGGGCAGTGGCATGATCATAGCTCACTGCAGCCCTGAACTCCTGAGCTCAAAGACCCTCCCCTTCTAGCCTCCCGAGTAGCTAGGACTACAGGTGTGCACTACCATGTCCAGCTAATTTTTTCAATTTTTTTTTTTTTTTAGAGCAGGGGTCTCACTCTGTTGCCCAGCCTGGTTTTGAACTCCTGGCCTTAGGCAATCCTCTTCCCTCAGCCTCCCAAAGTGCTGGGCTTACAGGTGTGAGCCACCGTGCCTGGCCTATGTGATTTTTTTTTTTTTTTTTTTTTTTTTTTGAGACAGAGTTTCACTCTTTCACCCGAGCTAGAGTGCAGTGGCGTGATCTCGGCTCACTGCAACCTCCACCTTCTGGTTTCAAGTGATTCTCCTGCATCAGTTTCCCGAGTAGCTGGGATTACAGGCGCCTGCCACTACACCCAGCTAATTTTTGTATTTTTAGTAGAGACGAGGTTTCACCACATTGGCCAGGCTGGTCTCCAACACCTGACCTCAGGTGATCTACCTGCCTCGGCCTCCCAAAGTGCTGGGATTACAGGCATGAGCCACCACGC
Organism: Homo sapiens; assembly: GCF_000001405.40. NCBI lineage: Eukaryota > Metazoa > Chordata > Mammalia > Primates > Hominidae > Homo > Homo sapiens. Next base: position 15,846,117 of record NC_000010.11, read on the forward strand.
CTGGCCGTGATTCTTAAACTTAATTACTACCTCAAAGGTATAGAAAAGTAGGTTCAGGATTTTGAATATAACCATCATTGCATAACACCCACTTGCAAAAATAACTACCACTACTGAAATATACTGTACTTTATAAAACAGGAAACTCCTGTGGTATACCCTCCATTTAACTATATTCATGCACTTGCAACAAAAACCTTGCTATTACTGACCAAGAGGGGCAGTATTTATATAATCTAATTTACATATGGACATAACAAGGAATCTTCAAATTGAGGTAACATTCCTACTAGCAACCAAAAGTTGTTTCAGTTACTCAGTACAACAGCTATAATTACTAATTTGTAGTTAAATCTCATTCTTCACATTCCATAATTCCAAGGCAAGATTCAGACATTCAAATTTTTCCTCATTTTAAAAAAATTCTCCTAATGCAAAAAAAAGTCAACTTAAAAAAATAAATGATCTATAAAAGATATTTTGGAATCAACCATAATTTTTCTTCCTCTACAGAAATATATTTTTAATAATGTAAGTATTATTATGCTCTATATAGAGCATAAGTTCTGAGAAACAAATTTACTTTGTAGCCAACAGTTTAGGAATGCATTTTTTTTTTTTTTTTGAGACAAAGTCTCGCTCTGTCGCCCAGGCTGGAGTACAGTGGCGCAATCTCGGCTCACTGCAACATCCACCTCCCAGGTTCACGCCATTCTCCTGTCTCAGCCTCCCAAGTAGCTGGGACTACAGGTGCCCACCACCACGCCCGGCTAGTTTTTTGTATTTTTAGTAGAGACGGGGTTTCACCATGTTAGCCAGGATGGCCTCCATCTCCTGACCATGTGATCCACCCACCTTGGCCTCCCAAAGTGGTAGGATTACAGGTGCGAGCCACCGTGCCTGGCCAGAATGCATTCTTAATACCCAATGAATAATAAATGCCACATTAAATATATATATTTTCAAAACACGATGGTTAAAACATAAACAATAAATTAGCTGTAATTTTTATAACAGTTCTTTTATAACACTTCCAAAGTAACACTGTCATTCACAGACATCATCAGTATTACAGTAAACTGAGAATTCAATTCTTGGTTTTAACAATTTAACAGTTTATAGCGAATCAGCCTTTGAAATTCAAACAATGTAACATACCAAGATTCCAAATCAAATAAAGACATTCCGATAAATCCTATGTTTTGTGCAAAGAAAAAACATTTTTGGTTTTTGAAATTGTTTGAAATCAGTTGTTACGAATTTTATTCAGAAAAGCCAAAGCTATAGCATAAAATAGTATAAGCTGCCAACTTTTTTCAAATTTGAAAAAGTTATAAGCCAGAAAAATATGAAATCACCTTCAGCTTTAGGAAAGTAACTTTTACAGACTGAAATAATGAAAATAGTACAATTACAGTGATTGTACCTATCTAGTGTATAACATGTTATTACTTAATAGGATCTCTGTGTTAAAGAAGTCAAGAAACTTCCTAATTTTCTGAAAGTCAGGGAACGCCTATTATTTTTCCTTGAAAATAAAGATTGTCAAAAGGCTACTATTGCACAACTCATCGATATGGTGAATTCATTTTTATTTTGGATATTTATTGTAATTTACATGAGCAAAAGTTAAGAGTTAATTGATTATGTCTCATAATTACTATATGGAGTACAGACATTAGAAAACGACAAGTATGAAACGTTTCAAAATGTCCCTCTAAGGAGTTGGTAAAGGAGTCTATGTTACCTGAACAGGTGCAATAACAGCACAGGGGCCACCTTCAAACTGTTCTAATGCAGATCCCTCTGATTCACTAAACACAAACCCTAAAAATGAAAGCAAGTAGGAAAGATTAAAAATATAATTCAAGTAGCAGCTAAAAGAATCTTTCATGTACTTTGCTTTGAGAATGATCACTTATCACAACAGCAAAATATCTTCAAATCATGAGGTGTGGATCAAGGAACCTTTTGAAAAAAAAATCTATAGAACCTATCCACCCCCACTCCCAAATGCACGTAAGAGTACATATACTCACACAATTTTGCACCCAGGAACTCCTCTAGGAGGATAAAGTATGGACTTTAGTAAAATGACACTGAATCTGACTTTTCATCTAAGGAGGACTAGATAGTCTACTAAATTCAAACAATTTTTAGAACTCTTTAAATACCATATCATTCTATCATTTCAAACTTTCTGTCACATTCTATAAGCTAATCATTACATGGCATTGGCCGGGCACAGTGGCTCACGCCTGTAATCCCAGCACTTTGGGAGGCAGAGGCGGGCGGATCACGAGGTCAGGAGATCGAGACCATCCTGGCTAACATGATGAAACCCCGTCTCTACTAAAAATACAAAAAATTAGCCAGGTGTGGTGGTGGGCAACTGTAGTCCCAGCTACTCGGGAGGCTGAGGCCGAAGAATGGCGTGAACCTAGCAGGCGGAGCTTGCACTGAGCTGAGATTGTGCCACTGCACTCCAGCTTGGGCCACAGAGCTAGACTTCATCTCAAAAAAAAAAAAAAAAAAAAAAAAAAAAAGAAAGAAAAATTAAATGGCATTGTAGACAGTACATGTGTTTATATTGGCTTTACCTTAATTTAAATATTACCCAACCAGCATTGACTGATAGCAGCTAGCGGAAGTTCTTCAGATGGCCCTGGGTCAGAAGTTAGGAGAACCCAGTGACCATCTGGATAACCCTGTGAAGATCATTTCACCTGCTTGGGCCTCAGTGTTCTCATTAAAATAATCAATCCCAATTCCAAAATGCTAAGAACCTATAAATTCCATTAATTGTTACTATTCAGACATTCAGCCAAACCAGTTCAGGTTAATGAACATCTGATATTATGCCAATCATCTAGGATATATGCCTGGATGACACAGTCTCTGGTCTGGAGGAGCCACTAGTGCAGGTGAAGAGAGACATACAAACAGATAATTACTAAAATAAAGGAATAAACTAATGTTATAAGAGAAGAATGCAGAGTATTGTGGATACAGAAAGGCATGCTCTATACTATCATAACAGATAACTTCCAGGCTCATCTTGAACAGGAATTTGCCAGAGAGGCAAAGGTGAATGAATGGAATTCAGCTAAAGAAAATACCTTAATTAAAGCAAAAAGGTTTTCCAAGAGGACAGAATGTTTATAAATCAGAGAAAATTTAACACAGCTAAAGGGTAGTACGGGGGTAGGATGGAGGTGCCAGCAAATGGGCGGCAGGAAAGATGACAAGTGGTTAATATTGCAAAGGGCCAAAGAACCAGGACTTAACCAGCAGAGATCTTTCAGTAAAACAGTAATATCATCTTACTGGTTTTTTTTTTTTTTCTTTTTCCTTTTTTAAAGGAAGAGAAGCAGGAAGAAGTTGTTTCAACATCCCTATAGAGATGATGCTGACGTAATGAAAGCAACATTACCGTGGAGAAGAGAAACTACATTCAAATAATATTTCTGAGGTAAAAATAAGATTTATTTACTATGTGTTAAGTGGGGCAAAGGCTTGGTACAAAAGAAATTAGAGCTGTTTCTGAAGTTTCTAGTTTGAGACACCAGGTGAGAGCAATGGAGAGGGTGCCAGAGAGGGTGCCATTCCATCCCATCTCCTCTCTTTATCTTCAATCTCTTCCAGGAAGCATATAAACATTTATCTAACATATTAAAATAAAACAAAACAAAACCTTAAGATTCCACCAAAAACTCCAATCAGCACTCCATCACTCTTGTCCTCCCAAAGTCCAGCTAGTCATCTATATATGCCCTGTTTCAATTTTCTTACCACACAATTTACTTAACCCTCACTAATCTGGTTTTCAACCCATGAGTGAATGTTGCGGGAAGTTAGGGACCCTGAATGGAGGGACCTGCTGAAGCTGTGACAGAAGAATATAAATCGTGAAGATTTCATGGACATTTATCAGTTCCCCAAATTAATACTTTTATAATTTCTTACGCCTGTCTTTACTGCAATCTCTGAACATAAACTGTGAAGATTTCATGGACATTTATCACTTCCCCAATCAATACTCTTATAATTTCCTATGCCTGTCTTTAATCTCTTAATCCCGTCATCTTCGTAAGCTGAGCATGTATGTCGCCTCAGGATCCTGTGATGATTGTGTTATCTGCATAAATTGCTTGTAGAGCATGTGTGTTTGAACAATATGAAATTTGGGCACCCAAAAGCAACAGGATGGCTGCAGTGTTCAGGGAACAAGGGAGATGATCATTAGGTCTGACTGTCTGGGAGCTGGGCAGAACAGAGTCATATTTCTCTTCTTGCAAAAGCAAATAGAAGAAATATTGCTGAATTCTTTTTCTCAGCAAGGAACAGCCCTGAGAAAGAGAATGCATTCTCAGGGGGGAGGTCTCTAAAATGGCCGCTCGGGGAGTGTCTTATACAGTTGTAGATAAGGGACGAAATAAGCCCTGGTCTCCTGTAGCGCCCCCAGGCTTATTAGGATTAGGAAATTCCTGCCTAGTAAATTTTAGTCAGACCGGTTGTCTGCTCTCAAACCCTGTCTCCTGATAAGATGTTATCAATGACAATGCCGGCCCAGTACAACATGAAACTTCATCAGCAATTCTAATTTTGCCCTGGTCCTGTGATCTCACTCTGCCCCCATTTGCCTTGTGATATTTTATTGCCCTTAAAGCATGTGATCTCAGCTAATAAAAACTTGCTGGTTTTGCGGCTCAGGGGGCATCATGGAACCTGCTGACATGTGATGTCTCCCCCCGACACCCAGCTTTAAAACTTCTCTCTTTTGTACTCTGTCCCTTTATTTCTCAGACCAGCCAACACTTAGGGAAAATAGAAAAGAACCTACGTTGAAATATTGGGTGCTGGTTCCCCCGATAAGTGAACCAAACTCATTCTCACCCAAGTTCATCAGTCATCAGTACAGGCTAGTTCCCAAATCTTATCTTATTTAACCTTCCAAAGAATCAATCTGAAATGCTGACCACAAACCTGCGAAACTTTTGTCCCTTGGCTTTTTGTTCCAAGTTTTGCTTTTCTAGTTCTTCTGTCTCCATGATCACTGCTTTTAAGTGCTAATGTTCCCCAGGTCTTGGTTTTAGGATCTATGCTCCTTTCATTCTATATATTTTTCCTGAGTAATCTCATCTACTCCCAGACAGTCCATTCCTTGTTATAACCATGTAATTCCCAAATATAGCCCAGATTAGGACTCCAGACATAGACAGAGTCTAAGTCCCTTAACATGGTCCTGTATTATCTGGCTCCTGCCTGCATCTCCCTCTTCACCCTTTGCCATTCTCCCTTTTAGATTCTGGGCACATTTTCTTTCAGGTCCTGAGATATTTCATTTTCTCTATGTCTCTTACCCCTTGTAAATGTTTCTTCTGCTTGATACACCTGCTAACCATTTCTCTGGAAAACTCAAACTTACCTATAGGTTTCACCCTAAGATAAGGCCTGCCTGCTTCAAGGCTTCAAAACGTATCTTTAACGTGTCCATTTCCATCCCATCTCCAGTCCACCCTATAGTTCAAACCGCTATAATCTTTGACCTTAAATACTGTTGAGTTTCCAACCACGTCTCCCTATTCCTTCCTCCCTCCTGTCCAGTCCCCAACTATTCACCACACAGTTGCCAGAAAGTATTTTAGAAATGGAAATCAGATTTTGACACAGCCTGCTTAAAACATTTCAGTGGCTTCTCATTGCAATTAAAATAAAACCCAAACTCCTTTCTGTGGTCTAGAAGACACTGTATGATCTATCAATCCAGCTGACTCTGTTTACACTTACAATCATTATCTACTGTGACCTTAGGTCCTCAGAACATCCCAGAGACTTTACCTGTAGCCTCAATGCTCACTGTTCTCTCTACATAAAAATGCTCTTTCCGCTACTCTCCATATAGATAAATCCTTATTTTTCAGGTCTCAGTTTAGGTGTTAATTCCTCATAGGGATATTTCCTTACAAACCTATCTAAGTAGTCTCTCCTGTCATCCCCTAGCACAACCAGTACTTACCATAATCTGTAGTTATTGTTTGTTTACTTCTTAATCATCTGCCTTGCCTGACCGGTGTTGTATCTGTGTTACTGGTCATTGTTTTCCCACAGTATGTTTACAACATACTGTGGCTATTGCTCAATTAATGCTTGTTGATGTTTTGGCATGGAAGATAATGGCAGTGTTTGTTTCTAGGAATACCAAGTTCAGTCTCAAAAATGTGAGATAACCATTTGGCAACTTTTAGAAATCGGAGATGTAAGTGTGTAGTTCAGGGCAGGACTTAGGATTAGAGGCAGCAATTTCAATCATCTTAAACATGTCAGTTAAAGTGAATGAGAACTTGTAAAACAAAAATAATGAAGTTGGGAACTTTAAAAAGTGAGCAGAGGCTGAGTCAGCAAAGGAGACTGATAAACATTAGAAGGATAAGAGAAAAGCACATTAACTGAGCTCCTAGAAAGGAAAAATCAGAAGCAAAGAGTAGTCAACTATTACAAATGCTGCTGAATAAAGATATAAATTAAAATACTAGATTAATCATGTCATTGGGAATACTAAAAATATAAATTTACAGCACTAGGGAGAGTAGCCAAATTTTAAAAGGTTGAAGTGTAATTCGGATTAGAAAGAGAAATAGTAAAAGCAAACTACAGTTGGCCGTTCATATCCATAGGTTTGGCGACCACAGATTCAACCAAACACAAATGGAAAATATTTGAGGGTGGGAAAAAAACGATGGTTGGGTCTGTACTAAACATGTACAGACTTTCTTTTTCATATCATTCCCTAAACAATACAATGTAACAACTATTTGCATAGCATTTACAGTGTATTAGGTATTGTAAGTAATCTAGAGATTATTTAAAGTGTAGGGGAAGTCGTGTGTAGGTTATATGCAAATACTGCAGAGCGTCTATGGATTTTGGTATCTGCAGGGGGATCCTTGAACCCACTACCCCTCGAACACCAACAGACAACTATATTTAAGTTTGGCAGAAGGGAAAAAGGAATGATAGTTTGAAGGGTAGTTGGATCAAGAATTATTAATTTTGTAGACTGAAGGGTGTGAATTAGAAAAGGGAAAGAGTGATTATATGGAAAAGAGGAAGTTTAAGGTCTCCAAGTCCTGAAAAAGAGCTGAGAGAGACTTTTAAAGGTGGTCCACCGATAACCCTGGAAATCCTAGAGACCTTTCAGGGGGCCCACTGGAAGTTACAATTATTTACATGATAAAACTAAGATATGATTTGCCCCTTTCGCTGTGTTGACATTCACAGTGATGGTACAAAAGCTATGGTGTAATACATTGCTGGTTCCTTAGCATACATCGAGACAGTAACATCAAGCTGTCCTAGTGGTCACTGTCCTAAAAAACACCCCCATACCCTCACACAACTACAGAGCCAATTTAAGAACATACTTACTGCTGCAGTCAAAATTACTAATTTTATTGTATCTTGATCTTGAATACAATGTCTTTTTAAAAATATATTCTGCGGAACAAAATGGAAGCTACCCATAAAGCACTTATGCTACATACTGGGTATGATGGTCAAAAGTTATCTCAAGGAAAAGTATATGTGTAATTTTTTTAACTGCAAGCTGAACCAGCTACTTTTTTTTTTTTAATGGAGTGCTGCTTTTACCTAGTATAACTACCAATAAGCTACAGTTATTCAGACTTGAGTATCTGGCTGACATTTTCTCAAAAATAAGTGAGCTTGACATTTCAAGGAAAATAGCCAGTGATAAAATTTCGAGCATTCAAGCAGTAACTTGGAACACTTGTGTCCACTACTGTGACTCTGACAGCTTCTCAATGCTTACAGATTGTTCCGATGACATCACTGGTAACAGAAACAAACGTGACTTCTGGTATGGTATAATGACATACACTAACACTTGGAAGATTGTCATAAACCAGTAGACTGATAATCTCCAAATCACTGATGTATACTGTTATAAATTAATGCAGAGGTAAGAGATCTATTAAAACTGCAAGACAGACCAATGGATTTCAATTTAACAGAGGATGAAAAGTTACATGATTTGGTTTTAGATTTCGTATTGCAACTAATCTCTACAATACTCTGATGTGTCAAGTTTTGGTGTGGTATTAAAGAAGATTATGTGTAATTATCTGAAAAGGCTACTACCATACTTCTCATGCCTTTTCCAATTGCATATGTGAGGCCAGATTTTCTGCATCCACTTCAACCAAAATAATATATTGCCACAGACTGGAGAAGCCAGTGTAGGAATCCAGCTGTCTTCTAATATGATAAACATTAAAGAGATTAGCAAAAATGTAAAACAATGCCAAGAGTCTCACTAAGTTTTAAATTTTTTGAGTTGAAGTCCTCAATCATTTTTAACACTGTAATGGGGACCTGAGTTCCAAAAACTTGAGAGCCACTGGCCTAGGAGAAGAAGTAAATTTTAGAAGGCTTTTAAGTTAAACATATGAGGAAAAATGAAAAAGTGAACAGGTGTTATATTGAGAGTGAGAGGAATGAGAAGGGTACAGAATTGAGGAAAGTGTTAATTCCAAAAAACATAAGGAAAGAACTAAGAGAAGCACTGAGGGCTCAGCTAAGATTTAACTACATTTGTATTGGTGCTGGACACAATTTTCTCCAGCAATACACAGCAGCCTGGGAGATCAAAAATAGGACAAATGGAGAACTGGAATAGAGAAGATACATGTAACAAATTTAATAAGAAAGTGACAACTAAGGTTTCTGGTTATGTTAAAACAACCAAATTTAAGGTCCAACCTAGGAACAAGAGATGAAATCTTCACTGTTTGGCCAGCTCTTCTACTGAGAATAAGGAAAGGGACCCTAGTGTTGTACCCAAGTGCAGAGGCAAAATTAAGATCTGCTAAACTTTTCGTGTATGAAATTAAAGTGTGAATTAGTAATGGATCTTGCCTTCCTTAAAAATTTAAATCATGTAACTCAATTATCCACAGGTGGGGCTTTCAGTTGGAAATGCGTTACAGTGAGTTGCTTTTGTACTTTTAATATTAAAAGCCCATGGAGTGAATTCTAAGCAGTTATGCTTCATGCCAAATTCTGTTTAATTCCAGTATACATGTTTGAGTGTGTTAACTGATAACGGACAAAGGCTAGTAGAGCCAAAATGAAATAAAGTCAGCTAAATGAAAATTAAGTATTCTATCCTAAAACAGGACTATGCTGAGTAGACTTCTCTTTTCATAATAAGGTTTTACTTAAGTTTGAATTTCTCAGGACACAGCATTACTTTTCTTCTCAAGAGTTCTCATACTCAAATTATTTCCTAGTTTTAAAAGGACTTAACTTACCATAAATGGCCGTTTTTCCTGATTACGTCTGAAATTACCCATCTTAAAACACCTAATCCTACGTAGACAATTTTGTATCACATTACACAGTACTACAGATCACAGAAAAATCTTTCTCATTTTCACATTTTATAGCTCAGAACCAGGGTAAACCTGAGCCATGAACCTCATCGCAATTTTTCAATCTCTTGTTTTCATATTACTTACTATACATATACACATTTTGCACACCATTTTGACAACTATACCTTCTACAATTCTAGCCTTCCATGTAAACAAGGCTATAGAAAGACTTAGTTTGACATCCTGGCTGAGTCAAATATCTCAATTGGACTTCACATCTAAAAAAATGAGGATAACTACATTTGTTCTTTCCTATCTTTCAGGGTTGTTGCAAAGATTAGGTAAGATTTTCATAAGCTGTAAAATATAGTACAAATATAAGATATTATCACAGATACTTTCAAGTATTTGAATAATAAAACAAATTATATATTCAAAGTACCAAGGAATTAATTTTGTCATATATGCTTACCAATTACGAATTAAGAAATATTGGTTGTTAGGCAAATTATAATTTAGGTATGTTGAAGAAAGGAAAAATATATATAAGAGAATGTTAAAAACTTCCAAAAACAACAAAAAAACTTTTAAACGATGTGATCCACAGTATTAGCTTCACTTTGGAAGAAAAATTAATGATGTTGGTGTGTCATTTTATTACTTTGATAAAATAGTAAATCACATTAAAATAAATACCCAAACACGCCTTTAAACCTTAAATTAACCCAACTGTATTAACTCCTAATATATTTTATATTTATATTTTAATGGATCCCTCAATTTTCCTAAGTTATTTGTTAAATATCTTTTTTTCATATTACGTAACAAAAATTGTGCTACACTGAAAGCCCAAAGCTCTAATTTCAATCAACTACACCTACACGCCCCTCTTCCCCTGGGGAAAAAGAAAAAAAAAACCCACCCACTGTACTGCTACAAATAGCAAAAATAAATCTCTCTCTGACTAGTCTTTAGGAGAAACAATAAAATAACTGGAAGAAGGAAAATAATTGGAAGAAGGAAAAATGGCTATAAGAGTTTACACTCTCCCTCAGGCGTCAGCAAACTACAACCCTCATCTGCTTTCATGTTTTAGAATGCAGCCACACCCATACTAACCATGGCTGCTTTTGCTGCAATACCATTAATGAGCTGAGAGGCAATAAAAAGGCCACTCACCCTTTAAAGAAGTTTGCCAAACACTGAGCTAAGCAATCAATATTGAAAAGAAAATAAATTCCAAATAAGTCAAAATGTTTTTATTTATACAAGAAATACTACTTCTGTTAGGTCTAGCTGATTCTTATTTTGGTTCTGTTTGGTTGTGGTCACTCTGTCCGCTTCTTACCATCTCCACTACCACTACTCTGGTCCAAGATAGCATCTTTTCTCCCCTGGACTGCTGCCATTGTCTCTTATCTGATCTTGCTGTCCCAATCCACTACAGTCTATCCTCAAACACAGCAGGCAGATCAGTCCTTTAAAAACTTGTCAAGTAGTATCTCTCCTTTGCTTCAAACCTTCGAAGGACCCCTATTTCATGTATAAGATGAGTGAAAGTCCTTCTAATGGCCTAGAAAGCTTTATATGATTTGGGCCATTTCATTTCTTATATCATCTTTTATTACTCTCCTTTTCCTTTATTCCCCCTCCTGCCACACTAACTTCCTTCTTGTTCCTTAAACAGACCAAGTGTATTTTCTGTGAAGTTTTTTATAACTACCATTTGTTCTGCCTGGAGCACTCTTTCTTCCGACTTCTGCATGACTAGCTGAGTGACTCCAAGTGTTTGCTCAAATCTCATCTTAAAATGAGGCCTGACCAGGACACCCCACCCAGAACTCTGTATTTCCTCATCTTCAAACTATTTATTGTACATGTGTAATTTATGCTACGTTATATTTACTGTTTGTCTTCCCTCCCACCCTACTGACTCTCAACTGTAAGAGCTTGGAATACTGGTGTAGTTTGTGGGAAGGGGGGAGGATAAATAGTGTTAATGAGCTAAGGAAGTGAAAATTATATGCTATTCTTTAAAAAGTACTATAGGCAATTGAGCAGGAGGAAAGCAGAGAGAAGAATAAATTTTCACGTTAAAATAAAACCCTGCCAACTTTAAGCCCTTAAATTACATGGCTTATTGCCTTTAAAATTAAAACTGCCCAAAAAAAGAAGAAGAAAAAAAACACCCCGCATTTTTTAAAACGAACAGGGATTTGTAGAAGAGAATTATCTAAAAATGTCAAGCCAATTAAAAACAACTATGTGCCACTCCTGCAGCTTATTGTTTTAACAACCATATCAAAAGAATTTAACTTGATCAATCAATATAATTTTATAGATGAAATATCTCTAGACATAATTGTATAAATATTCATGCCAAACATCTTACATCTGTATCTTGCTTCCAGAAAACTAATGAGACTGCAGTTGTCAACTGAAGACACGATCACAGACTATGAAATAAAGCCAGAGTTGATGTCACATTAGTAATGCAGCAAAGCAGTGTCTTGTGCCTGTTCCCACAATCCCAAAGGACTGCCACAGCAATATTTAGCAATGGCCTCAAAGAACAAACAAATGAATACAACAGTTAACATATCAAAACCAGTAACAGGACCCCTCTGATTCAGAGGCGATAACTTCAAAAATATATGTTTGGTTGCCTTAAAATCTTAATCAGTGTAAGGCCTTGAAGAGCTACATATCCAAAATATAACTAACTGCACCCTGTAAACGAAAAAAAGAAAGAAATCCTTTATTTTGAAATGGTACTGATGGAACTAATCCTGTTAAAGAATTTCTGCATGATTAAAGGTGGCAGAGCGTTCTAATAAGTCATTATAAAGTTCTATTTAGAATAATGATTAGCCATCAAATAAACAACTTATTGTAATTGTCAGGAAAAAGCCAAAGAGTGAATTTGGCATAGTCTACAATTAAACACTTTTTAAAATAATATAAAAACAGCTACCATATACTGAGTGTTCACTATACGTCAGATAGTGTGCTAAGCACCTAAATTATTTACATGGCCTCTAATCCTCACAATAACTCTGTAAGGTCTATTATCTGTACTTTACAGAGAAGGAAACTGAGGCTTAAATAAGCTAAATCACATGAACCTGAACCAAGTACATCTATTCCAGACTGTGCTCTTAACCATTACTAGAACTGCCACCCTGAATCTTCCTTGTATTTGCATTACAGTATAAATATAAACAGGGCTGAATATTATCTTATTCTACTTTGTAAAATGTTTAATAAATGTTAACTGATTACAATGGAAGTAAATTTTTTCTTAGTCTTTCACAGTATTTTAGAGCTGCTTACTATTAGAATAAGTAAGTCAAAGTGGGAAGTGTTAAAATAAAATCTCCCTCTAAGAAGCCCAAGATTAGGTAACTGACATAATTGAATGTGAAAAAAAAGAGCCCAAGTCATTACATGTAGGGTTTGGGAACTCAAAGGAAGATAATGAAAACAGAGGTATATTAGGAATCGAGAGACCTGGAATCCACTCCCAGTTCTATCGATTTGTGCAACTTTGGCCCAGTCATTTACCTTTACAACTAATTTTTTTCGCCTGCAAAGCAACAGTGAGGGACTAAATATCCCAACTTAACAATACATCGTAATTGTAATTTTACCAGCTCTTAAAACAAACATGTGGGAGGGAGGGAGAGATTACGTAAATCCTGAATTTTTGTTACAAAATACACGTTTTGAAATAGGGGTTTATATTTACTATGCCAAAATTCCGCCCAATCTATTTCGGGAACAGGTGTTCCCTAAATAGATGTTTTAATAATAATAGTGTTTTACATACATAAATTATTGATCCTTCTGACTCAAGGTTATGTTTTAACCTCATCATCATCTTTCCTAAGTCACCTTTAGGAATGTGTCAGTTGTTTGCCTATCCAAACTTAAGAATTAGGGATAGTTACTAGTATAAAGCGCCCAGCCTGTTACAGTGCAAGAATTCAATAAATGCTTATTTTATTTCATTATTATTTGTACTAAGACTCTTCATGTAAGTAAAAGTCCTGTCTGGGTTACAAGCATACCGGCCGAGGAAGTACTATGATCCATATTCCTTTTTTAACCGTGACAGATAATAAACCATATAAAAAACGGGGATACTTTGGGCCAAGAGTACACTTTTTAGCAAATAACAGTGTTTATACACAGACTACCACGCCTAACCACATAATGACAATACAAACAAAAAACTGCTTTTTGGAATTAGCCACTTGGACTTTCCCTTGGACGTCCCTCCTTCTCACCAAAAATAGACCAACCACCACCAATAGACAGCTCTGTTAGGGGGTAAAGATGCGGAAGGCCACAGCACCCCTTGAGAAAGTGACACCGGGGCACGGGGCGCATCTTCCGTGTCACGCCCTGCAACCCAGCAAGGGGCCACCCTCTCCTCCTCCCCAGCCGAAGGGCAGCCCGGAGGATGGAAAGAGCGCTGCGGGTATTTAGTGGCAGCTGTAACCATTCTCCTACTCAAACTCTCCCCACCAAGGCAAGGCAGGGCGTGTCTAGAAAGTCCAGCTTCAGCGCTGAGCACGGCGACTGGGGCAGAGAGCGGGGCACGCGAGGGGCTGGAGCGAGAGGCGTCACAGGCGGACTCTCGCAGGGCAAAAGAAGCAGCGGCTGCAAGTGTGAGAGCCCCGCCAGGGTACCTTGCGTCCAGCGGCAGAAAATGGTGTCCGAGAGACCGGGGCTGCTCTTGGTGCCCCACACCAGCTCCATCAGCTCTTTAGTCAGTTCGGACATGATGAGGAACCGGCGGGCGGATCTTCGCTTTGCGGACTCCTGCCCCGGAACATGGGGAAGGGGCAACTCCGGAAACAGCAGCTGCGGGACGGCGGCGGCAAACGAATTGGAAGGTGAGGCAGGAAAGAAGAAGGGGCTGAGAGCCACTTGCAGAGACCAAGCCTGTCAAGCCAGGTTGGGGCAGCAGCGAGTTTTCCGTACCGGAAGTGCTGGTGCCACTTCCGACTCCTCTTTAACTCCCGCCCCTTAAGGCTGAGGGCCCGGAAGTCCCCTCCCCGGAAGTGAAATTGGAGGCGGAAACAGGCACGGAAAGCGGTGGAAGTAGCTTCTGACCTTTCTGAACTGTCTGGGACCCTTTGGTGGGGTGGTAGTTTTTGTATTGGGAAGGGGCGTCGGCGTGTTTCTAAACTCCAGGAATACCTTCTTCCTCTACGCACTGCTCTGGGCTAAGCTGGAGGCTCTGAGGCCCAGGCACTAGGAATTAGAACATATGCCCATTGCTTGTATTTTTCAATATTAATTTTGCAAAACTAGAACTATAAGGCAATAGTTGAGTCACAGTGCGGTAACATCCGTGCCTTTGTAGGGCGCTTCTCATAAGCTGGAGGCTGTCCGCCTCTGTACTTCAATAAATCAAAGTCAGACCAACTATTACCTAAAAACATGGCAAAGAATGTGGCATAATGTGCATTAGAAATGCTTCCACCAGCTGCAACGCAGAATTACAAGGTATTTGTAGGGAAACAAATTCAGAGCAACCTGTTTGTAAATGTTACAGCATTTTCATCTCCAGTTTTTGACACTGCAGAGTGTGTGGGCAACACCTGGACTAAAGTTTAGGTTTTACTCATTAACTAGCAGTTAAATTGAGTTCATGTGAAAACTTATGTTTGTGCTGCTTAAAAAAAGAGGGCTTGTATTGCCCGAGCTTTGAATTTAAAACGAAAGGGCAAAATCTGATTTAAAAAAAAATACATGCTTTTATTTTGGTTCTGTAAGGTTTCTGTACTCCTTGGAAACCATATTACTTTGGGATGCAGTAATGCAATAGTTAAGAGGCCAAGCTGTGGGTCATACTGGCCCATATTCCTACCTTTTGCACTTACTAGCAAGTTACCTACTATCTACCTAGGCTTTTTTCTTTCTAAAAGGGAGATTGCATACATTTCATATATTGTAAGGAATAAATGGAAAAAGTAACACATACAAAGGATTTGGTGTACTTCCTAGCACATGGAAGGCATTTATGCAACAGTGGGTATTTTTTTTACCTCAAGAAGCCATTTTGTGGGAATTTGATGCAACAGTAGTTCTGACTTTTTTACCCATAAATTCTAGCCAGTTGTATTTTAGTATAATACGTTATGTTCTCTAATTTCAAAAACATGCAGTTTCATTGTAGAATACCCTTGCATTTGGCTAATTAAAATTAACCCTTAATTTAAAATCTTTTAGATTGCAAATAAGGTTTTGTTAATTTATGCTTTATTACTAGCTATTTTTTCCTATTTATACGTTATTTCTAATTTTATTTTAATTAATTTAATTTTATTTCTTCAGTACCCTTTACTGTAATTACAGGGACTTGCCCAAAGTGCCTGTAGTAGAGCCATAGCATTCCTTTTGATCTTTATTCCCTTTAGAATATCCCTTGCCTTGTTTTTGCAAATCAAATCTTACCTATCCTTCATGTCAGAGTGTGCATGCCAAACTTTCTCCAGTCATTACAATTGAAAGTAATAATTATAATTTCTGAGGCTTCATAGTACCTTATGTGTAACTTGCTTATGACAATTCCTATCATCATTGTATTTGCAAAGAGTTATTTGCTTTTCTCTTGGGATATAAATTTATGGAAGCAAAGAGCTGCCTATTCATAATTCTAGCATGGGGCCTTGAACATCACTGGATCTCAATAATTACGATTCCAAGGAACAAAACTTGCCTTTACTGGAAATAAAGAATTCATTATCTCTCAGCAAGTGAGAGATCGGGGAAGTAGTACTGACTGCTCCAGTTAAATATCTAATATTCGCATGCTGATTACAATTTACGTAATTCTTCCACTTCCTGAAAGACACAGAAGGGTCTATGTACATAGAGCTCATAACTGGCAGACTTCTAAGTTCAGAAGTGTTTCCACATTTGACTTTCTCCATTAATGTATGTAAATATTAATGGTGTAGTGTATATAACACTACATTTGTTTCCTTTACATTAATATAGATAGTAGTTATAAGTTTGATTACTTTGTTATGAAAAAACAAAAAATTGTACTTTCAAACTGTATTTTTTTAAACGAGAAATTTTTTGATCTATGATTTTTCTTAGTTTCCAGCTACAGTGATGCTGGCAAAATCCTGGATAGACATTTATATGAATGTCCTTTCCACTTCCACATTATATTTTTTTTTTTTTTTGAGATGGAGTTTCGCTCTTTTGCCCAGGCTGGAGTGCAGTGTCACCATCTTGGCTCACTGCAACCTCCACCTTCCAGTTTCAAGTGATTCTCCTGCCTCAGCCTCCTGAGTAGCTGGGATTACAGGCACCCGCCACCATGCCCGGCTAATTTTTGTATTTTTAGTGAGATGGGGTTTCACCATGTTGGCCAAGCTGGTCTTCGACTCCTGACCTCAGGTGATCCACCCACCTCAGCCTCCCAAAGTGCTGGGATTACAGGCGTGAGCCACCACATCTGGCCCACATTATAATTTTTATGTGTAATCTTTTAAATTTTTTAATTAGCAGGACATATCTTTAACAAGGAATATTTTACTTTTAAATTATTGGCTTAATTATTCATTAGGTATAACATTTAAATAGAAATTAATATTCATCAAAATTGTTCTTATTCAGTAATTATCTATAAATAAATATTTAAGTGAATCACGTTTTGCATCTATACCTGGTGCTGGATGAAAATGCCTTTCTCTTGTTATAATGACTTGGAAAATTATGTAAATGTTCTTTCATGTATTTATAACACTTCATATTTTAGCATATTGTTTTTCTCAGGACTGTCTATGGTTTCGATTAAACTTGTATCACTGAGGTGTATATAGGTTGCATTAATAATCTTTCACTTCCTATTTATATGTAAGTTTTATTAATAATACTTCTGTTTCTTTCAAATTCAAGTCAGGGTGCTTCCATAAAACTGGGCTGAGATTTCCATTATAATGAATTCTTTTTATCCATCTTTACTACTTCAGGCAACAAAATTAATTACTCAGCATTAAACTCTAACTCTGTTTAATTATTTTCCTGTCTTTCCTCAAACTTTTTTGCCAGATAAAAGCACAACAACTTTATTGCCTAGTTCCTAGCAACTAACATGAAAAGTACAATTCTCCAGTTGGAAACCCTGGACTCCTAATTTAGTGTATTTACATTACTCCTTACCTAGAAGAAATCAAATATTTCAAAAACTCACCCTGTCATAAGATTAATAACATTTAGGTGGGTCATTAAAACAATCCCATACTCATTTATTACTAAAACTTTTTCATTTGTATGTCCTCTGCCTTCCAATAGCAGCATAAATCTACCAAAGCAAATGAAACTACTTCCTTCTGCATCATCCTAACCTTATCTCAGCAGGATAATACTTGTCCAGCTGAGCAAACAAGTCCCTTTCAGACTCACCAACATCATATTCAAGGGTGGCATAGTGTAGCACTCCCCATTGCATCTCCTACTGACATTAATACATGGTGGTAAAGGGGAAGTGTCATTAAATGCTGGGTTAAATAAATTTAAACAGGTCATTCACTGCAACTCTCCAGGAGTGGGGATTGTGTTTAATGTTAACAGACACATTTGAATCATTTCATTCACTGAACTTCTTATATAATTTATGTTCTGCAAAATACTGTTAGGGAATCAGGGGTCTAATGAAATCGTCTCTTGAAATGGAATTAGAAAATCTGAATGTTAGTCCCCATATGGGCAGTAAGTGTGATGTTGGGTGAATCATTTAACTAGCCGTACCTTGCTTTCTTCATCTGTAAAATAAGAGAACTAAATATAGGTTACTTCTTAAGGTCATATTCACTGCAGGTCCTGTACACTTCTATGATTCTAAAAAGTGGCTGTCTTTAACTTGAAATGTATGGGGATAATGGGGAGAAAAAGAATATCGGAAACGTGTATGGAATAGAGAAATAATTATGGCATTATTCTTTAAGACATAGAATAAAAGAGGTCATTTGCCATTTTAGCACTTGTGCTAACATTATGAAATGAGAAGATAAAATTCCAACTTGTACATTAACACAAGACTAGCTATATAAAGTAACCATATAATATTTACACACTTGGATGTGTCATAGGCACCTCAAACTTAATATGTGCCAAATTAAACATGACTCTTCCCACAAACCCTGCTTTACTCTCAATGTTTCATATATCAGTGAATGGTGCCATGATCTACAAAAAGCTCATTCCTTAATGTTCTTGATTGTGATAGAATGAATAAATACTCTCTTTCAGGCTCAGTTACCACATTCATAAAATGATCTTATTAATAATTGTATCATACAGCGATTGTGATATTTAATAGGGAACATTAGGCACGAAAGAATTACAAGCATTGAAAAATACTATTCTTATGTTAGTTTTATTAATGATTTAGGCAAAACATTATAAAGGAGCAAAGATGGTGTATGAATTATTTCTGCATTGAACTGGGGAAAACCAGAGAAGTTTGACCTGGATAAAATCTTGACTAGAGAAAAAAGGGAGGATGTGCATTTTATGCTTAAAATACTCTCGTGGCAGAATCTTAGCATTTGTGTTAGTAAAGAGAGATGAGTCAGGAATATCGGGTTATGGAGGGTGTAATGGACAGAATTCTGTCCCTCCAAAATCCATATATTGAAGCCCTAACCCCTGATTAAACTGGGTTTGGAGATAGAGCCTTTAAGAAGGTAGTTAAGATGAAATGAAGTCCTAAGAGTGGATTCTAATCCAATAGGACTGATTTCCTTCAAAGAGAGGAGAAAGAGACACCAGTGCATGATGTCTCCCTCTATACCAAAAAGGCCATGTAATGACACAGTGAGAAGGTTGCCGTCTACAAGCCCGGAAGGGAGGCCTCGCAAGAAACCAAACCTCTCAACACCTTGATTTTGGACCTCTAGACTCTGGAACTGCGAGAAAATAAATTTACGCTGTTTAAGCCATCCAGTCTGTGCTATTTTGTTATGGCAGCGCAAGCAAACTAATACAGTCTCTTAAAAATGTTAAATGTTAAATACAGGCATGCCTCAGAGATATTGCCGATTGAGTTTCAGATCATCACAATAAAGTGAATATTGCAATAAAGCCAGTCACACAAATGTTGTGGTTTCCTAGTGCATATAAAAGTTATATTTACACTACACCATAGTCTATTAAATGTGCAATAGCATTATGTCTAATAAAGACAATGGACATATATACTGTAATTTAAAAAATACTCAACTGCTAAAAAATGCTGATGACCATTTGAGCCTTCAGCAAGTTGCAGTCTTTTTACTTGTGGAGGGTCTTGCCTCCATGTTGGTGGCTGCTGATTGATCAGGTTGGTGGATGCTGAAGATTGGGGTCGTTGTGAAAATTTCTTAAAATAAGACAGTTTGTTGTATTGATTGACTTTTCCTTTTACAAAAGATTTCTCTGTGGCATGAGATAATATTTTATCCACAGTAGAACTTCTTACAAAATTGGAGTCAATCCTCTCCAACCCAGCTGCTGCTTTATCAACTAAGTTTATGGAATATTCTAAATCCTTTATTGTCATTTTCAACAGTGTTCATAGCATCTTCACCAGGAGTAGATTCCATCTTAAGAAACCACTTTCTTTGCTCATCCATAAGAAGCAACTCCTTATCCATTAAAATTTGATTGTGACATTATAGCAATTCAGTCATACCTTCAGCCTCCACTTCTAATTCCCATTTTCTTGCTATTGCCACCACATCTGCAGTTACTTTCTCCACTGAAGTCTTGATCCCTTCAAAGTCATCTATGAAAGTTAGAATCAATTTCTTCCAAACTCCTGTTCCTGTTGATACGTTGATATCCTTCCATGAATCACAAATGTTCTTAATGCTAGCCTTCAAGGTGGCAACTAGTGACCATGCCTCTTGATGGGCATGTCCTTGGGTAGTTCCTTTCCACATTGAAAAGACCCCAACTGCCTGACCAACTGGATATTGTGAAAGTAATGGGATGTGATTTTCAAAGGCATTGCAATTTCTGCCTGGTTTCGTGGCTCTGTTTCTTTGGGGGAAGCCAGCTGCCATGTTGTGAGGGTACTCAAGTTGTCTATGGACAGGCACACATAAAGAGAAATTCAGGCTAGATGTTCCCATCCCCAGTCTCTAAGATCCCACTTGGTTATTATTAGGACCTTCACCAAGACAAAGAAAATTCAGCTTTTTCTGAAATTCTCCTACTCTCAAAAAATAAATTCTGCCTTGGCCTTCAGCTTTGTTTGTTTCTGCCACTGCAGGAAGTAAGTTTTGTTTGGTTTTGCGTGTTTGTTTTAAATGCTGCCAGGGACCATTTTTGACTCTCATATTTCATCTTAGGTTGCTGATTAATAAATACAAGCCTGTCATTTTCTTTCCTTATCATTTCAATGGCACTTAAAAAGCAGACAGTCTTTGCAATTCAATATCAGTCAGTGATTAGCCATGGATTGTCCCTGTGGCTCTAGTTTGGTCAAGGATAATTACTCCTTGTAGAAAGAGACAGTTAAAAACTTTGAACTGCCAAGAATTTACAGTAGCTGGGGGATGGATATACCGACTGGTTCAATGAAAGGAATCTAGGTGGAATCTATGCATACCAAAAATCAAAAAGTCTGTAGCAACAACATACTTAATGAAGAAAAATTTCCGTTTTAGAATGGCAACAATATAAGACATCCTACAACCATCACTTCTATTCAATATAATAAAGGAAGGCAAAAAGAATACATAAAAAGACTAATAGAAATAAAGCTTCATGATTCATAGCCTGTCTCAGGTTCAATTCTGTACTTAGCATTTTTCTGGACTTCTATAGCACACCCTGCCCTTAATCCTTAAGACCTTTCTCTAGTACTGTTACTTTTGTGCATGTTTGTGACTCCCTCACAGCACTGATCAAATCCCCTCTGGATGAATTGAGACTCCAATAAAAACATATCAAATCCAGCAGCTTAACTTTTGCCAATATGGCAAAAATTCATGAGGGATACGTTCCAAAACCCCCAGTGGATGCCTGAAACTGCAGACAATACTTCATCCTAAAAATACTATGATTTTTCATATACATACATACGTATGATAAACCTTAACTTATAAATCAGGTATAGTAAGAGAAGAACAAAAATAACTAATAATAAAATAGAACAATTATAACGATCTACTGTAGTAAAAGTTATATAAATGTGGTCTCTTTCTTTCTCTCTCCCAAAATATCTTATTGTATTATATGCAACCTTCTTGACCATGGGTAACAAATTGGAAAGAGAGACTGTGGCTAAGGCAGGGGATTATGGTACAATATTGAACTCTTCTTCCATAGTCTGGAAGAAGAATGACAATTTCTTTTGGGGAAAGCTCAGAAACTGAATGGATTTGGATGCCCAGAAAAGAACGTCTGGCAGTTTTGAACTAAGTCAGTGATAGTAAAACAAAATTGATTCTATGAGTTGAAACTGCTTTTAATTTTATCCCAGTCTCTCTCCCAATTTTCTTGGTTCTCTTAGAAGCTGTCCAGATTTGCTTGGCTAAAAACTGATATTGGAATGTTGCATAGAAAACCCGGGTAGGAAAAGGCATATGATCATTAACAAACTCCCTGGTTCAATTCATGTCATGATCAGCAGCATGGCGTCTGTCCAGGCAGAAGGTCATGCTTGTTGAAGAATGAATGACGTCTGCCCCTGGGCATTGTGTTGAACATTCTGCGGCTTTGGGAAGCAGCCTTAGGCGGGATTGGAGCCTAGATGGACAGACAGAGGTCTTTTGCACCTTCAAAAGCAAACAACAGTAGAGCCCCCAAGGCTGCTTCTACATTCTTTGGTTTTTATTTTTGAAATGTGTTATTAAAAATGTCAAACATATGAAAAAATGGAGAGAAAGGTATAATAAACACCTGTCACACCTAGATTTAATAATTAAATCATTTGTTTCATCTATTTTTGGTAAATTTTAAAATAACTGATTACAGATGTGATAACAATTTTTCCCTAGTTATTCCAGAATGCGTCTCTGAAAATTAAAACATTCCCACACAACCACATTATCACATCCAAGAAAATTAATAATTTCCTAAAGTAATTTATTATCACTCTTTATCTGCATGTCTCCATTAAGTTTTACAACGCCTTTTAGAGCTAGTTTTGACAGGTCACGATTTGATCAATGACAACATATGGCATTTCTCTAAAGAATATTTTAACGTAGAACATTCCTCTTCCCCTGTTTTTTCATGACATTAATTTGTTGAAGAGATGGTATCAATTTTCCTTTAGAACGTTTGATTCTGATTGTTTCCTTGTCTGATTGTTTCCTTGTAGGAATGTTTGATTTGTACCTTGCTTAGGTTTTGGAATTTCGCGTAAATCGGAAGTTTAGATGGAAAGATTTGATTCGATTTAATTTGAGTACATTAATTAGATGGCAAAACACTTCTTTGCAAGAATATCTTAAGAATAATGTTATGTTTTTTCTTACTGCATCACACCAAAAGCTGGTCATCTAATTACTAGTGTTGCTAACATTGATTATTCATGTAAGGTGTCGCCCTGCAAGTAACCTGTGGGCTCTACCTTAGCTCTGTGTCATTTCAATTCTCTGTTAGCCTTTTATTTAATGGTTTAGCAGCCACTAAAAATTCTTGCTTGAATCAATTATTCCATTGAGAGTTGCAAAATAATCACCTTCTGTTTTTTGGTGGTTGTTTTTCTCACTCCTTGAGTTGGATGATTGGTTCATTATTTTTCAACCTTCCTACTGCATTCTAATATAACATTTAGTGCTATAAAATTACAATCTAAGTCTCATACAAATTTTGATATATACTACTTTTATAATTACCATTCATTTCAAATGTTTTATGATTCCCATTTTTTTCCTTAACCCATTTGTTATTTACAAGTAGATTTTAAACCTTCAGACGTCTCTTAGAGTTATCTGTTTATTATTGTTTTAATTTAATTATGTTTTGTTCAGAGGACAATTGTTTTTATAATCCTGATACTTTGGTATTTGGTGAAAGTTACTTTTAGGCTTAGTTTATGGTCAACTTTTTTAAAAATTTCATGCATAATTGAGAAGAATTATCAGCTCTCTGATTTTTTGGTAGAGGATTTTATGTATTACTAACAGTTTAAGAAATTAGTTAATTGTTTTATCCATCCACAGCCTTAAAAAATGTTTAAATCTAGTTAATCACTTAGGAGATTGTTAAATCTCCCACTGTTGAGGTGGATTTGTCAATACTTTTCTTGCTGTTGTATCGAGCACTGCTTTAGATATTGCTATATTATATATCTGATATTCACACATTTAGAGTTGTTATATCTATCTAACAAATAATTCATTTAATCTGTAAGATCATATTAGAAGAAAGGCAGTGTCCAATATTTACTTCACCTTTGTGTAATCTCTATAATTAGTCTTCATATGTGTTATGTTTTTATAGTCAAGGTTTGTTCAGGTTTACTGTCCTAGTTGTCACTTTCTTTGCTTACCTTTCTTTCTTTTTGGATTTTTTTTCCCATTTCATAAAGCATATAGTTTTTGAATTCTTGTAATGATAAATTTTATTGTCATTAAACATTGATTTGATTTGTAAAGAAGGTGCTTATTTTTGTCATTTTTGTCATTCTTTTTTTTTTTTTTTTTTTTTGGAGACAGTGACTCACTCTGTAGCCCAGGCTGGAGTGCAGTGGCACCACCTTGGCTAACAGGAGCCTTGTACTCCCAGGCTCAAATGATCCTCCCACCTCAACCTCCAGTGTAGCTGGAACTACAGGCACATACCACCATGCCTGGCTAATTTTTTGGAGGTCTGGGATTACAGGCGTGTACCCCCACCCCTGACCTGTTCTGTCATTATTCTTATGTGATAATTTAGGTGGGATAAAATTCCAAGGTCTAAATTCTTACTAGACATGTGACTTTGAGAATGTTGCTTTACCTAACTCTTCCTCAGTTTTTTCACCAGTGAAATGAAAATTAAGGGTATGCTCACCACCGGGCTTGCGCCTGTGGTCCTAGCTACTCAGGAGGCAAAGGTGGAGGGTGGATTTTATGTATTTTATTTTTATTTAACAGACATTTGCATGGCATTTACTATGAGCCAGCCCTGTTTAAGAGTTACAAATGTTAACTCATTTAACTAACATAAGGTAGGTACAGTTTTCTTTATTTTTAGGGATGAGACTTTGTCTCTATTATGATTATTAAATTGAAAATAAAATAAACTGTTTTTGGAAATATGCTGGTCTAGATAAATAACCAGTAAACACATTTAAAATTACTTGTATAACATGGCAAACATACTCTCAAAAACTTATACTTGCAAGAAAGTAACAGATATCCCCATAAGCAAAATCTGAAGAAGAACCCAGAAAATCAGAGAAATAAACCAAAGAACTCACTATTTCTCAGCTGTCCTGGAAGAAAGTGTATATGTTTCGTGGGGTGGGAGTTGGTTTCAAAGTTGTTTGGTTTTAAGGGCTAAAGCCAGAAGATAGTGAGTTGAACTTGTGTGATTTCACTAATTGAAACTGAGCCAGTCAAATTGCTGTACCATTAGTGAAAGTGTGGAATAGGAAAAAATAATCCTCATCTCTAATAAATTAAAAATAAAATACATGAAATAAATGAATATATTGTGAGTTGCTTTCTCGCATGCCTTAAAGATAGCTTTCTACAGTTGTCTGCCATGTATTGTTACTTTTGAAAGGTCGGTGGTTTATCTAATTGTCATTCCTTTTTAGGAAACCTGTCTTGTTTCTCTGTTTGCATTTGGGATTGCTTCCTCATCTTTAAGTTTCTGCTGTTCCACTGGATTATCTAGGTATTTCACTTCTATTTATCCTGCTTGGGAGTGTTATACATTGTTATTTGGGGAATTTGTGTCTTTCATCAGTTTGCAGAACATTTCAACCATTTCATTTTTAATATTTTCTCTCCATCATTTCATTTCTTGTTCATCTATGGAAATCTGAATAGACATACATTGGGCTTAGTTCTTCCATCTTCCATGGCTCAATTTCTCTTTCCCATTTTCCATTTCTTTCTCTCTGGAGCATTATATATCTGCAATAAAGTCTTCCATGTATTAATTCTCTGCTTAGCTCTGTCTTATCTGTTTTGTCCAACCTATTGGGTTTTTAATTTCAATAACATATTTTTATTTATACAAGTTCCATTTCATTGTTTCCCAGATTTGTCTGAACTTTTATGATAGTATTTACTAATTCACTTATAATAAAATATTTTCATTTTAGTTTTCTGATTTATGAGTTATGAACCCATGTTCAATGGAGGTTTTTTTTGTTTTTGTTTTTGTTTTTTGTTTTTTGTTTTTTTTTGCAAGAATCCTATCTGGTTATATGGTCTAAAGAGAGTACGTGTCCCCTAAAGGGTTTTGAATGTGGTTCATCCAGGTAATTCCAGTGATATTATGCATGATGCAACCACAGGCCAATTTTATGTTGCTTTCTCAGCTGAAACATTCCTGGACCACATAGAAAATGGACTGAAGAACTTGAGCCCATGCCAGGAACTCCATTATCAAAAATTCTCAGAACTGACATTTTACTTATCCATCTAGATCCCAGGTCAAGATTACAAGCATCCATGTTTTTTTCCTGGGCTGGCAGATATTTCTTTTTTCTATTCCACACTTGCACTAATGGTACAGCCATTTGAATGGCTCAGTTTCAACTGGTGACATCACTAGTCAAGTTCAAGTTATTATATTTTGTCTTGAGCCCTTCAAACCAAACAACTTTGAAACCAGTTGCCGCCACTCAAAATACATATTCTTTCCTCCAGGACAGCTGAAAAATATTAAGTTCGTTGGTTTGTT
This sequence comes from Homo sapiens, assembly GCF_000001405.40. Classification (NCBI taxonomy): domain Eukaryota; kingdom Metazoa; phylum Chordata; class Mammalia; order Primates; family Hominidae; genus Homo; species Homo sapiens. Next base: position 15,872,381 of record NC_000010.11, read on the forward strand.
GCTCTTATTTTCTGGGTTCTTCCTCTGGTTTTTCCTATGGGGTATCCCTTACTTTCTTGCAAGTATAAGGTGGGTTTTTTTTGTTTTTGCATGAGTGTTTTTTATTTTATTTTTCATAATTTTTATTATATTTTAAGTTCTAGGGTACATGGGCACAACATGCAGGTTTGTTACATAGGTATACATACATGTGCCATGTTGGTTTGCTGCACCTATCAACTCGTCATTTACATCAGGTATTTCTCCTAATGCTATCCCTACCCCAGCACCCCACCCCCCGACAGGCCCGACAGGCCTGACAGGCCCTGGTGTGTGATGTTCCCTGCCCTGTGTCCATGTGTTCTCATTCATTGTTCAACTCCCAATTATGAGTGAGAACACGCAGTGTTTGGTTTTCTGTCCTTGTGATAGTTTGCTGAGAATGATGGTTTCCAGCTTCATCAATATCCCTGAAAAGGACATGAACTTTTGCATCCTTTTTTATGGCTGCATAGTATTCCATGGTGTATATGTGCCAAATTTACTTAATCCAGTCTATCATTGGTGGACATTTGGGTTGGTTCCAAGTCTTTGTTATTGTTAATAGTGCCGCAATAGACATATGTGTGCAAGTGTCTTTATGGTAGCATGATATATAATGCTTTGGGTATATGCCCAGTAATGGGATCGCTGGGTCAAATGGTATTTCTAGTTCTAGATCCTTAAGGAATTGCCACACTGTCTTCCATGATGGTTGAACTAATTTACACTCCCACCAACAGTGTAAAAGCGTTCCTATTTCTCCACATCCTCTCCAGCATCTCTTGTTTCCTGACTTTTTCATGATCGTCATTCTAACTGGCATGAGATAGTATCTCATTATGATTTTGATTTGCATTTCTCCGATGATCATTGATGATGAACATTTTTTCATAAGTCTGTTGGCTGCGTAAATGTCTTCTTTTGAGAAGTTTCTGTTCATATCCTTTGCCCACTTTTTAATGGGGTTGTTTGTTTTTTTTCTTGTAAATTTGTTTAAGTTCTCTGTAGATTCTGGATATTAGCCCTTTGTCAGTGGGGTAGATTGCAAAAATTTTCTCCCATTCTGTAGGTTTCCTGTTCACTCTGATGATAGTTTCTTTTGCTGGGCAGAAGCTCTAGTTTAATTAGATCCCATTTGTCTATTTTGGCTTTTGTTGCCATTGCTTTTGGTGTTTCAGTCATGAAGTCTTTGCCCATGCCTGTGTCCTGAATGGTATTGCCTAGGTTTTCTTCTAGGATTTTTATGGTTTTAGGTCTTAAATTTAAGTCTTTAATCCATCTAGAGTAATTTCTGTGTAAGGTGTAAGGAAGGGATCCAGTTTTAGCTTTCTACATATGGCTAGCCAGTTTTTCCAGCACTATTTATTAAATAGGGAATCCTTTCCCCGTTGCTTGTTTTTGTCAGGTTTGTCAAAAATCAGATGGTGGTAGATGTGTGATGTTACTTCTGAGGTCTCTGTTCTGTTCCATTGGTCTATATCTCTGTTTTCGTACCAGTACCATGCTGTTTTGTTTACTGTAGCCTTGTAGCATAGTTTGAAGTGAGGTAGCACGATTCCTCCAGCTTTGTTCTTTTTGCTTAGGATTGTCTTGGCTATGCGGGCTCTTTTTTGGTTCCATATGAACTTTAAAGTAGTTTTTTCAATTCTGTGAAGAAAGTCAGTGGTAGCTTGATGGGGATGGCATTGAATCTATAAATTACCTTGGGCAGTATGGCCATTTTCATGATATTGATTCTTCCTATCCATGAGCATGGAATGTTCTTCCATTTGTTTGTGTCCTCTTTTATTTCGATGAGCAGTGGTTTGTAGTTCTCCTTGAAGAGGTCCTTCACATCCCTTGTAAATTGGATTCCTAGGTATTTTATTCTCTTTGTAGTAATTGTGAATGGGAGTTCACTCATGATTTGGCTCTCTGTCTGTTATTGGTGTATAGGAATGCTTGTGATTTTTGCACATTGATTTTTGTATCCTGAGGCTTTCCTGAAGTTGCTTATCAGCTTAAGGAGATTGTGGGCTAAGACGATGGGGTTTTCTAATTATACAATCATGTTATCTGCAAACAGAGACAATTTAACTTCCTCTTTTCCTAATTGAAAATCCTTTATTTCTTTCTCTTGGCTGACTACCCTGGCCAGAACTTCCAACACTATGTTGAATAGGAGTGGTGAGAGAGGGCATCCCTGTCTTGTGCCAGTTTTCAAAGGGAATGCTTCCTGTTTTTGCCCATTCAGTATGATATTGGCTGCCGGTTTGTCATAATTAGCTCTTATTATTTTGAGATACATTCCATCAATATGTAGTTTATTGAGAGTTTTTAGCATGAAGAGCTGTTGAATTGTGTCAAAGGCCTTTTCTGCATCTATCGAGATAATCATGTGGTTTTTGTGATTGGTTCTGTTTATGTGATGGATTACATTTATTGATTTGCATATGTTGAACCAGCCTTGCATCCCAGGGATGAAGCCCACTTGATCATGGTGGATAAGGTTTTTGATGTGCTGCTGGATTCGGTTTGCCAGTATTTTATTGAGGATTTTTGCATCAATGTTCATCAGAGATATTGCCCTAAAATTCTCTCTTTTTTTGTTGTGTCGCTGCCAGGCTTTGGTATCGGGATGATGCTGGCCTCATAAAATGAGTTAGGGAGGATTCCCTCTTTTTCTATTGATTGGAATAGTTGCAGAAGGAATGGTACCAGCTCCTCTTTGTACCTTTGGTAGATTTCGGCTGTGAATCCATCTGGTCCTGGACTTTTTTAGGTTGGTAGGCTATTATTGCCTCCATTTCAGAATCTGTTACTGGTCTATTCATAGATTCAAATTCTTCCTGGTTTAGTCTTGGCAGGGTGTATGTGTCCAGGAGCTTATCTATTTCTTCTAGATTTTCTAGTTTATTTGTGTAGAGGTGTTTATACTATTCTCTGAAGGTAGTTTGTATTTCTGTGGGATCAGTGGTGATATCCCTTTTATCATTTTTTATTGCATCTATTTGATTCTTCTCTCATTTCTTCTTTATTAGTCTTGCTACCAATCTGTCTATTTTGTAGATCTTTTCAAAAAACCAGCTGCTGGATTCAATGATTTTTTGAAGGGTTTTTTGTGTCTCTATCTCCTTCAGTTCTGCTCTGATCTTAGTTATTTCTTGCCTTCTGCTAGCTTTTGAATTTGTTTGCTCTTGCTTCTCTAGTTCTTTTCATTGTGATGTTAGAGTGTCAATTTTAGATCTTTCCTGCTTTCTCTTGTGGGCATTTAGTGCTATAAATTTCCCTCTACACACTGCTTTAAATGTATCGCAGAGATTCTGGTACATTGTGTCTTTGTTCTCATTGGTTTCAAAGACCATCTTTATTTCTGCCTTCATTTCGTTATGTACCCAGTAGTCATTCAGGAGCAGGTTATTCAGTTTCCACGTAGCTGTACGGTTTTGAGTGACTTTCTTAATCCTGACTTCTAATTTGATTGCACTGTGGTCTGAGAGATAGTTTGTTGTGATTTCTGTTCTTTTGCATTTGCTGGGGAGTGTTTTACTTCCAATTATGTGGTTAATTTTAGAATAAGTGTGATGTGGTGCTGAGCAGAATGTATATTCTGTTGATTTGGGGTGGAGAGTTCTGTAGATGTCTATTAGGTCTGCTTGGTCCAGAGCTGAGTTCAAGTCCTGGATATCCTTGTTAACCTTCTGTCTTGTTAATCTGTCTAATATTGACAGTGGAGTGTTAAAGTCTCCCATTATTATTGTGTGGGAGTCTAAGTCTCTTTGTAGGTCTCTAAGGTCTCTTTTTATGAATCTGGGTGCTCCTATATTGGGTGCATATAGATTTAGGATAGTCAGCTCTTCTTGTTGAATTGATCCCTTTACTATCACATAATGGCCTTCTTTGTCTCTTTTGATCCTTGTTGGTTTAAAGTCTGTTTTATCAGAGACTAGGATTACAACCCCTGCTTTTTTCACTTTCCATTTTCTTGATAGATCTTCCTCCATCCCTTTATTTGGAGCCTACATGTGTATTTGCACACGAGATGGGTCTCCTGAATACAGCACACTGATGGTTCTTGACTCTTTATCCGATTTGCCAGTCTGTGTCTTTTAATTGGGGCATTTAGCCCATTTACATTTAAGATTAATATTGTTATGTGTGAATTTGATCCTGTCATTATGATCTTAGAAGGTTATTTTGCCCATTAATTGATGCAGTTTCTTCATAGTGTCGATGGTCTTTACAATTTGGCATGTTTTTGCAGTGGCTGATACTGGTTGTTCCTTTTCACGTTTAGTGCTTCCTTCAGGAGCTCTTGTAAGGCAGGCCTGGTGGTGACAAAATCTCTCCTCATTTGCTAGTCTGTAAAGGATTTTATTTCTCCTTCACTTATGAAGCTTAATTTGGCTGGATATGAAATTCTGTGTTGAAAATTCTTTTCTTTAAGAATGTTGAATATTGACCCCCACTCTCTTCTGCCTTGTAGGGTTTCTGCTGAGAGATCTGCTGTTAGTCTGATGGGCTTCCCTTTGTGGGTAACCTGACCTTTCTCTCTGGCTGCCCTTAACATTTTTTCCTTCATTTCAACCTTGGTGAATCTGACAATTGTGTCTTGGGGTGGCTCTTCTCAAGGAGTATCTTTGTGGGGTTCTCTGTGTTTCCTGAATTTGTATATTGGCCTGCTTTGCTAATTTGGGGAAGTTTTCCTGGGTAATATCCTTTAGAGTGTTTTCTAACTTGGATCCATTCTCCCCGTCACTTGCAGGAACACCAGTCAAATGTAGATTTGGTCTTTTCACATAGTCCCATGTTTCTTGGAGGCTTTGTTTGTTTCTTTTCACTCTTTTTTCTCTAATCTTGTCTTCTCACTTTATTTCATTAATTTGATCTTCCTTCAGTGATATCCTTTCTTCCACTTGATCAAATCAGCTACTGAAGCTTTTGCATATGTCACGAAGTTCTCATGCCGTGTTTTTCAGCTCCATCAGGTCATTTAAGGTCTTCTCTACACTGTTTATTCTAGTTAGCCATTCATCTAACCTTTTTTCAAGGTTTTTAGCTTCTTTGCAATGGCTTAGAACATGCTTCTTTAGCTCAGAGAAGTTTGTTATTACCAACCTTCTGAAGCCTACTTCTGTCAACTCGTTAAACTCATTCTCTGTCCAGTTTTGTTCCTTTGATGGTGAGGAGCTGCAATCCTTTGGAGGAGGCACTCTGGTTTTTGGAATTTTCAGCTTTTCTGCTCCGCTTTCTCCCCATCTTGGTGGTTTTATCTACCTTTGGTCTTTGATGTTGGTGACCTACAGATGGGGTTTTGGTGTGGATGTGGTTTTTATGGATGATGATACTATTCCTTTCTGTTTGTTAGTTTTCCTTCTAACAGTCAGGCCCCTCAGCTGCAGGTCTGTTGGAGTTTGCTGGAGGTCCACTCCAGACCCCGTTTGCCTGGGTATCACCAGCGGAGGCTGCAGAACAGCAAATATTGCTGCCTGATGTTTCCTCTAGAAGCTTCATCCCAGAGGGGCACCCTCCTGTAGGAGGTGTCTGTCAGCCCCTACTGGGAGGTGTCTCCCAGTCAGGCTACATGGGGGGTCAGGGACCCACTTGAGGAGCCAGTCTGTCCGTTCTCAGAGCTCAAACACGGTGCTGGGAGAACCACTGCTGTCTTCAGAGCTGTCAGACAGGACATTTAGGTCTGCCAAAGCTGTCTGCTGCCTTTTGTTCTGATATGCCCTGCCCACAGAGGTGGAATCTACAGCAAGGTAGTAGGCCTTGCAGAGCTGCGGTGGGCTCCATCCAGTTCGAGCTTCCTGGCCTCCTTGTTTACACTGTGAGCACAAAACCGCCTACTCAAGCCTCAGCAATGGCGGATGCCCCTCCCCCCACCAAGCTGCAGCGTTGCAGGTCGATCTCAGACTGCTGCGCTAGCAGTGAACCAGACTCTGTGGCCCTGGGACCTGCTGAGCCACGCACGGGAGGGAATTTCCTGGTCTGCCAGTTGCAAAGACTGTGGGAAAAGCATAGTATTTGGGCAGGAGTGTACCATTCCTCCAGGTACAGACCGTTACAGCTTCCCTTGTCTAGGAAAGGGAAATCCCCTGACCCCTTGAACTCCCTGGGTGAGGTAACACCCCGCCCTGCTTCAGCTCCCCCTCCATGGGCTGCACCCACTGTCCAACCTGTCCCTGTGAGATGAACCAAGTACCTCAGTTGGAAATGCAGAAATCACCTATCTTCTGCGTCGATCTTGCTGGGAACTGCAGACCGGAGCTGTTCCTATTCAGCCGTCTTGGAAGCCTCTGACACAGTTTTTTTTCTTTTTTTTTTTTTTTGAGAGTATGTTTGCTATGTTATAAGAGTAACTTTTAAATGTGTTTACTGGTTATTTATCCAGTCCAGCGTGTTTCCAAAAAGTGAGTTTAGTTTTCCCAAAATGTGTTCTGCAGAACACTCATATTCAATCCAGTGTAACTATGTGTTGGAAGAAAAAACTTAATGTTAGAAAAACTTTTTCTCTAAAACTTACATTTAAATATATGTAAGAAAACTAATCTTAATTATACATTTTCTTATGTTCATGCAATGATTAGCACTTAAGGAAATGCTGTGCCATTCTACAGAATGCCAGAATGTCAAAGTAGCAATTGATATAACCACATCAAATGTGAGTTAGCCATCTCACTGATATATTATCTGTTCAATGGTCAATGACCTATGTTCTATCCCTTGATTTAAAATTCCAGTAAACATTTGATATTGTGTTGCAGTCTTAGGATTCAATTCTGCCATTCCATCAACAGGTGGTGCCATTGTATTATAATTTGAATGTTGTGAAAGAAAAATATTTTGTCGTTACTTGCACTGATAAGCATCTCAGCTTTTTTAGAGCTGCTTTTGCACCCTGAGAAACTTTGACTTTAGGGTTTTAAAAAATGTTATATGGTTAAAGTTATATTGCAGAGCAAAACTGCCTGAATTCTTCTCATGTATATTAAGTCTAGAAATTGCACACTATATGTCTGCTATTTTGTCTACAAAGTCATGAAAAACCGAAAATAATATTCATAATAGGTAGTTATAGATTCTGATATATAGAGAATATCTGCTTTAATATTTTTGTTCCTGAAAATTCTCATCTTATTTTCATTTTATAAATTTAAAAAACTACTGGGTATTAGTAAAAAAAAAATTCACGTTTTTTGCAATACCAAGGAAAGCAAGTCAAGATTTGTGTTTTTTTCTTTACATATACCATTAAATATAACATGGGACATGGGTCACAGCTCTGCCAAAAGATCTCTTTGTAGCTATGTGTTGCCAGAAACAACACTGTGGAGATCCCTTTCGAGTTGTGGCAAGTCATGTGGACAGCTTGAGATGGGTAACCTCATATGCCCTGTCATAAAGAGAAGAAAGAAAGGATGACATCAGACTCTACCCCATTCTTTGTTCTGCCTGCAATTCACTGTTGTAAACTGGCAAAGCTTTTTCCTCAAGGGTAGTTGTCAAAGTCACAGCATGATCACAGGAGGTGGTAATAGGAAGTTGGCATGAGCCACTGACAGAGAAATTAGTTTGAGACTTCTTGTGATTCTCCTCAGGGATTTCAGCAACAGCCAGCTCTTCTAAGCTAATTAGTCCTACATTGTTGTAATGGATGATCAGAAAAAACAGTAATTGAAAATGATACAGTTCTTTAGTAATGCTAAAACTGTAAACAACAGAAATATCAAGAAATGAAACAAACATTTAGAACCATTTGGATAAATTGGATGAATAGGTTAGCAGATGAAAAATTCAGTTTCAAAGTAGACAAAATAAGATTTATTTGGGAGCAGACATCCAAGTTAGGGGCTATATATTAAATGATGCAATTATCAATACACTGAACATATTCTTTCTTTTATTAATAGACTGGGAAATATTCTTAAAATCATTTTCCTTTGGTTTAAGTTTGAATGTGTAGTTTTCATTTACACAGCATATATCTGTGGTTCACAGACACATTCTGAAATTTATTCTTGAGTTTATTCTCATTCATTCTTATTATGCAACTCTGTCACAATCCCCATTTCACAATTAAGATACATTTTCAAAAGTTACTCTGAAAGTAAGAGTTGGAGCCCAGACTTAAAAGCTGGATCTCTCTAAATTATGTTCTCTTTTTTATTCCACAATGGAGACTGAACAGATGAAATTTTAACTCTAACTATAGTTGCTCTGTTGTAGAGTAAGTGAATAAGTTTAGAGGACAAATACAGTGTATAGAATAGTACAAATGTTACTTTTATTTGTTTATTCCTTTTAGACATGGGAGTCTTACTAGGTTGCCCACGCTGAAGTGCAGTGGCTATCCACAGGCGTGATCATGCCGCACTACAGCCTTGAATTGCTGGGCTCGTGATCCTCATGCTTCAGCCTCCTGAGAAGCTGGGACTATAGGCACATGCCACTGCATCTGGCTACAAATATATGTATTTGTATTTGTACATATATATTTGTAAAATATATATATTTATATTTGTACAAATATATGTTTGCATATATATTTTAATATATATAATAAAAATATATATATATTTTGAGACAGAGTCTCGCTCTGTCACCAGGCTGCAGTGCAGTGGCACGATCTCAGCTCACTGCAACCTCTACCTCCCAGATTCAAGTGATTCTCCTGCCTCAGCCTCCCGAGTAGCTAGGACTACAGGCATGCACCACCATGCCCAGCTAATTTTTGTATTTTTAGTAGAGACGGGGTTTCACCATGTTGGCCAGGATGGTCTTGATCTCTTGACCTCGTTATCCGCCTACCTCAGGCTCCCAAAGTGCTGGGATTACAGGCGTGAGCCACCGCCCCCCGCCAAGTGTTGTTTTTATTAAATTGTGATAATAGATATTTTCCCCCTATCCTTTCCATGAATTGTGTTGCCATATGGTTCTATCTTCAATAAGGTTTAAATTGTGCATGCAGGACCTCTTTGACTTTCAGATCTGGCATTTTTTTTTTTCTAATTGGGGTAGTAAGTGAAGAGCGGAAAATATACTTTTGCCTGGCACAAAAGAGAATGAGGGCAGATCCAAGACTTATTTTGTTATTATTCAATTCCCATCTGCCATTACACTCTCTTAAAGTTTGTTTGCAGTTTCTTATCCATTCTGTGAGAGATAACAGAGTACACTTTTGCCCTTTTTCCTTTATGTCAGGGAAGTGAACAGTGATTTTTTTAATGAGGATGAACTTTTAATTTTGAGACTTTATATTTCTTGATAGCAGTAAGCATGCTTTTTATTCGTTAAAAATTATAGCTCTTAATTGTTTTTACAGAAATTTTATGCAAAGTGGTCATATATTATATTGCATCATATTCTTTAACTTAGAACTGATAAAAATGAGAGTTTGATTTATCCTTGTTGAAGTTCCTAGAAAACAGACTTGGAGCTGCAAGAACACAACACACTTCCCCTGGAAAATACTCAAAGAAGTAAATCTCTGGACATTGTTTACAGCCCTAGTAGGATACAAGAAGAAATGTTCCTTATTTAGAAAAAGAATCATAAAGCTAGGAAATATTAGCTAAAATGTCAATAAGTAGGGAAGAAAAGAGAGAGGGATGGTAGAAAAATGCAGATCTCCATAAATGTGGCTGTGATAGCTTGGGCTGCCATGGAAAATACCACTGAAGGAGTGGCTTAAACAACAGACCTTCATTTTCTCACAGTTATAGAAGCTGGAAGTCCAAGGTTAAGGTGTAATCAGGGTTCGTTTTTGTGAGGCCTCTCTTCTTAGCTAATAGGCGGCTGCCTTCTCTCTGTGTGGTCACACAGCCTTTCCTCTGTGCAAGCTTGGAGAGCACACTCGCTCTCCCTTCTTCTTCTTGGAATGTCACCAGTTCTATGGGAGGTCCCATTCTTATGACTACTTAACCTTCATTACCCCCTTAAAGGCACTATCTGTAAATATAGTCACACTGGGGAGTTAGAGCCTCATCATATGCATTTGGGGGGTGACACAGCTCTGCCCACGACAATGACCTTAACACTAGGATAGTTGTTTTGCAGAATGTCACTCGATCTGAGTTTGTTTCATGTTTCCTCATGAGGAGATCTAGGTTATGGATTCTGGGTGGGAGTCTCTCACAGGGGATATTGTGCTCTCACTGCATTCTCTCATGTGATTTTAATTTGTCCAATGGTGTTTACTTTGATCACCTGAGTGACAAAAGTGGTGACTCTCAAGACTTCTCTATTATAAAGTTTCTTGATGTGTTGCTAAATAACAGTTAGTAAGCATGGTTTTAGCTTGGAAAAACTGATACACCTCTTAACAGAAGTAGAGATGCCAGAAAATCCATGAGAGATTGTGGAGAAAGGGGTGTTCAAGGACTTGAAAATGCTATAATGAGTCTACTGTACCTAACCAGAAAACCCACCAGCTGACTGTCCTCAGGAGGGTCTAGAAAATACTACATTTGCCCAATTGATAAGAAATGCCCTGGTGAGGTGAAGGGGCACCAGCATTTTGAGAACCTCAGGAAAGTCTGTCTTCTGTAGGTTGGGGCTGAAGGTAGCTGATGGTGTTGCAGAACCGAGCATTTTAGTAGCAACGAGGGTACTAGATCCCAGGAAAGCAGAGGCCAGGAGGCAGCCTTTAAGAATCAGAAGAAAGATGAACATAATTACTATAACAGGTAGCAAGACTGGAATTTCATTCAGGGGAAACTGATCTGCAGGGAACTTGGGAGATGACATGGTTCTCCTAAGGGCAAGAGTGCTGAGCCGTTGTCACAGGTTGGGTTTTCTAGAAAGAGGCTGGTGTTTAGGAAGCAGGTTGTTCACTCAGGTATGTCCTTGGGATTGAAACTCATGAAACTGAGGGAAAGAAAGTGGCATTAAGCCGAGGGAAATGAACTTCATACAAGCCTGGCTGACCCGCAGGGTAAGCTGTGAAACTCACATAGTTTTTTAGCAGTGTTCCAAGTTGGGTTGGGATGGCCAGGCCTTATTGTCCCACACTGATCAATGAATAGATGTTGGCCACCTTGGGAAGGGGCAGGTATTAGTCAGGATTCTGCAGAGGAACAGAACTAATGGGACAGACATCTGAATCTCCATCTCGCTCCAGAGATTTATTATAAGGTATAGGCTCATATGACTGTAGAGGCTTATGGAGGCTGATTCTGGAGGCGGATGTGATTCTACCACCTGCAAGCTGGAGATCCAGGAAAGCTGGTTCTCTAGATTCCACTCCAAGACTGAAGGCCTGAGAAGCAGGAGTGCTGAGTGCAGGGGAAGATCAATGTCCAGGCTCCAGCAATCAGATAAGGAGGGAATTCAAACTTTCTTCCCTTTTTTTGTTTTATTCAGGTCCTCGATGGATTGGATGATGCCCATTCACATTGGGGAGGGCATCTTTTTTACTCAGTCTACTTTGTCAAATGCTAATCCCTTTTAGAAACATCCTCCTAGACATACCTAGAAAGGATGTGTCACCAGATATCTGGGCATCTCCTGGCCCAGGCAGGTTGAACCATAAAATGAACCATCATGGGGTATAATGTTGGGTAAGGCAGCTCTCTGCCACTGACAGATCCCAAAAGGTTCGTCAACTGAAGCATATCTGACAATAACATCCCTAAAAACTGGAGCCATGAGCCCTTAATTTACTGGGGACCTGGGTGATGTATTAGAGTGTTCACTACAGTCTACCTCTTGTGTCTACTTTGTCACATGCTTTCTAGGAACTGCTCTTCCAGCTGGTGTGTCTGTGGGATACCAGGAAGAGGAAGGTTAGTGGGACCAACTGCAGAGCTCACTGTTGAATATATATTTCTAGTGTGCACAGGCTAAGTCTTGCAGATCCTTTTGAAGTATAGTTTCCTTTCTTTCCTTATCAGGCCCAGCACATTCTTGACTGGCTTAAGTTAGGACTTCACCTGGCTTATAGGCCTAGAGAGGCCAGGAAAGGACTTAAAAGCAGATCTCAGGTGGGGCACATTTCAACTTGCAAGGGAAAGATTTCTAGCATTGTCTTCAGGCAAGGTGGAGCATGCTAGCTTTTAACACAAAGAATGGGCATTTGTGCAGGCTCCAAGGAGTCAAAGACATCTAGGAATTCAAGATTTGGGGAGAGCATCAAACCAGATACCCCCTTCCTGTGTGTCAGGACTCTCTCCCACTCTCTCTCCCTGTCTCTCTCTCCTTTTTTCTTTCCCTTCCCTTCCTTTTCTTTTTTCTTTTCTTTTTCTTTCTTTCTTTCCCTCTCTCTCTCCCTTTCTGACTTTCTTCCTTTCCTCCCCTCCCTCCCTTCTTCTCGTCCTCCCTCCCTCCCTTCCTCCCTTCCTTCCTCCCTTCCTCCATTCCTCCCTTCCTCCCTTCCTCCCTTCCTTTTTTTTTTTTTTTTTTTTGAGATGGAGTCTTGCTCTTGTCACTGAGGCTGTAGTGCAGTGGCACGATCCCGGCTCACTGCAACCTCCACTTCCCGGGTTCAAGCGATTCTCCTGCTTCAGCCACCTGAGTAGCTGGGATTACAGGCATGGGCCATCATATACAGCTAATTTTTGTATTTTTGGTAGGAAAACGGTTTCCCCATATTGGCCTGGCTGGTCTCAAACTCCTGGGCTCAAGTGATCTGCCTGCCTCAGCCTCCCAAAGCGCTGGGATTACAGGCATGAGCCACAGTGCCTGGCCAGGATCTATTCTTTCTAAACCAAACCCTGACCTCAGAATAGTGGATCTGTCTTTGATTTTAGTTTAACTCTCCCTGGAGCTCAGTCACCTCCACAATTCATACCTGGACATGGCCCTCAGTTCTCACTGCCCTCCCAATGAGAGGTATATGACAAAGAACACCATCTGGCTTTCAGACATAGTTTTCCATTAATAAGTCTCAGATTTTTGTTACTTATTTCCAGAGTTTAACACAGTTGAACCCTACTCATCCAATTTTCTTGACCTTGTAGCTGTGATTCCCTCCATCTTTCTCAAATCTCTGATATACCAGCTAGTGCACCCCTGTACTACTGATCTGCCATCCCGGTTTACCACCAGCGAAAGTTTCTGGGAGCACCTGTGTTCTGCCTAACCCTACGGATGTGGTCCTTACTGCAGCCAGTGGCAGGTGCTATCTTCAAAACCCCATCTTATCTCCTGCTTTCACAGAATACTTCTGGGATCAACTGTCGCAGGCTCTAGGGCAGAATTTAGGGTGCACTTGGAGTCAATACCTGTGGAAGGCAGGTTATGGAAGCAGGATTGGGCGGAGGGAAATCCAGCTCTGTGGCAGACCCAACACCAGTCTTGGCTGACTGCAGGGGAGCCCTGGAGCTGAAATGGCCCTTTAGTATTATCTTGAGTTGAGTGGGGATGCTAGCCCGTTATATTCCTGCACCAAGCAGTCACTGGATGTGGGCCATTCTGGGAAGGAGCATGACCTTAGCTGACAGTGTCTCCACAGCTGGATGATACGTAAGGATGCTGGCAGTTCAAAGGTGTCTTCAGAGAGCATCCCAGCATCTGGGACCTCAAGCCTTTCATAGAAGGGACATCTGAGTGGTGCATCACAGTGTCCAAAGAAGCTGTCAATAAAGGCCTTGCTTGCTGTATGCAGTCAAAAGACATAAAGAGTGGATGAACGGGCCGGGTGTGGTGGCTCACGCCTGTAATCCCAGCACTTTGAGAGGCTGAGGTGGGTGGATCATTAGGTCAAGAGATCGAGACCATCCTGGCCAACATGGTGAAACCCCATCTGTACTAAAAATACAAAAATTAGCTGGGCATGGTGGCACGCACCTGGAATCCCAGCTACTTGGGAGGCTGAGGCAGGAGAATCACTGGAACTCAGAAAGTGGAGGTTGCAGTGAGCTGAGATCATGCCACTGCACTCCAGCAGGGGCGACAGAGTGAGACTCCATCTCAAAAAAAAAAAAAAAGCATGGATGAGCAGAGGCTGAGGTGGGTGCTTCAACAGAAAATGATGAGATCCTCTGGTAGTTTGTAAGTGTGATGATTGAGTATTCACATGCATGCATGTGTGAGATGTGTCACTCCCAAACCTTATTGCAACATGGGCACATTACCCATCTCACATGGAAAAAGCAAACAGGTCAGGTACAGTGGCTCATGTGTGTAAACCCAGCACTTTGGGAAACCAAGGCACGAGGATTGCTTGAGGCCAGGAGTTCGAGCCCACCCTAGGAAACACAGTGATACCCTGTCTCTACTAAAAACAAAAAAAATTAGCCAGGCACGGTGGTAAATGTCTGTAGCCCCAGCTACTCGGGAGGCTGAGGCAGGAGGATTGCTTGAGTCCAGGAGTTCAAGGCTGCAGTGAGCTATGATGGCACCACTGCACTCCAGCCTGGGTGACAGAGAAAGATCCTGTATCAAAAAAAAAAAAAAAAAAAATTAGCCCTTGTCCAGTACCCAGGCTTGAGCTTTCTCACTCTGAACTCATCGACTGAAGAAGAGAGCTAGAGTCTTCACAGAAAAGAACTCTGCAACTCCACAGCACGTGTATGAAATAGTGATTGTCTTAATCCTTCAGCAAAGACACCTAGAGCCATTTATTTGGATAAATGTACACTGGAGAAAGGACAAGACCCAGCTATCTTGCAAGCTGTTGGATACAGATCCAAGATGGAACTGATATCCAAAGACCCTAAGTAGTATCATTCCCCCACAGAGCCCCCATCCCACGCCCCAGACACGTGTATACAGGGGAAAGGAAATCGATGAAGTCCTGGCCCAGGTCTGTTTCACTCTGAGTCCACTGGGTTCACTTAAATTACAGTCAATGTATTTATCAAGTTACTGTGCTTTAAATCTTTAACTCTTGCTATTTGTTTCCTGTTAGTCCTATATTTGTTTTTTCCCTCCCTCTTTTTCCTGCCTTCTTTTGGAACAAATGAGTATTTTTCAGAATTCCATTTTATCTCCTTTGTTGGCTTTATCTTTTAGTGGCTGTTCTAGGTTTGCTATGTATCTATTTTATTTTATTTTATTTTAGATGGAATCTTACTCTGTCGCCCAGGCTGGAGTGCAGTGGCCCAATCTTGGCTCACTGCAACCTCTGCCTCCCAGGTTCAAGAGATTGTCCTGCCTCAGGCTCCTGAGTAACTGGGATTACAGGCACCCGCCACCACGCCCAGCTAAATTTTATATTTTTAGTAGAGATGGGGTTTCGTCATGTTGGCCAGGCTGGTTTCGAACTCCTGACCTCAGGTGATCCACCCACCTCAGCCTCCCAAAGTGCTGGGATTACAGGCATGAGCCACTACGCCTGGCCGGTTTACTATATGTCTTTAATAAATTACCATCTACTTTCACCACTTCATACAGAGTATACAAATCTCACAATGTTGTACCTATATTTCATCTTTGCTGTTCTTTGGGCTATTATTGCCAGTCCTTTTACTTTTACGTATGTGATAAACCCTGCAACCTTTAATAAGCGTGGGTGGTGGGCACCTCAGTCCCAGTTCCCTTAAGTAGGTGCAAGGCCTTGTTTCCTGCTCCCTAGAAGTTTCACAAAACACATGATCCATAAATTTCAGCTTCAACTACCACTCAGGTTTCAGCTTTCTAAACACCTTATTTTTTTTCCTAAGAATTTTTCTTATACTTGGATGCTTGGCTCTTCATTTAAAGAGGCTTGTTTTATCTATCTATCTACCTTTCTTTCTTTCTTTCTCTCTCTGTCTCTCTCTTTCTTTTTTTTTTTTTTTTTTTTTTTTTTGATGGAGTTTCGCTCTTGTTGCCCAGCCTGGATTGCAATGGCGCAATCTCGGCTTACAGCAATCTCTGCCTCCCAGGTTCAAGGGATTCTCCTGCCTCAGCCTCCTGAGCAGCTGGGATTACAGGCATATGCCACCACACCTGGCCAATTATTATTATTATTATTTTTATTTTTAGTAGAGATGGGGTTTCTGCATGTTGGTCAGGCTGGTCTGAAACTCCCGACCTCAGGTGATCCACCCACCTAGGCTTCCCAAAGTGCTGGGATTACAGGTGTATTTCATTCCTGGGTAGTTTGGGAGAATTTTTCAGGATATATGGTCCTCTGTATTTCTGGAAATACACTGTGACTAATATAACAACAAAAAATGTTGATTTTACAGTTACATACATACATGTTGCTATGGTTTGGATGTTTCATCCTTCTAAACCTCATGTTGAAATTTACCCCGAATGTTGGAGGTGGGGGTGATGGGAGGAGTTTGGGTCATGAGGGAGGATCCCTGGTGAATAGATTAGTGGCCTTCCTTTGCAGTTAGTGAGTGCTCACTTTATTAGCTCCCGAGAGAGCTGGTTGTTAAAAAGCTCCTGGCACTTCCCCACTTTCCCTTTTGCTTCTTCTGTTGCCGTGTGATCTCTGCACATACCAGCTCCCATCACCTTCTGCCATGAGTAGAGTCAGCCTGAGGCCCTCACCACATGCAGAAGTCCAATCCTGGACTTTCCAACCATCAGAACCATGAGCCAAATAAACCTTTTTTTCCTTGTAAATTACCCAGTCTCAAATATTCTGTTATAGCAACATGAAGCAGATTAGGACACATGTATAAATATTATAAACTTTGCATTTTATATTGAGGATGTACATTCTCTTAAGCGGTGCCTTCGAACATTTCTCATAATCAATGGTGTATTCGGCCACAAATATATTTCTCAGTAAATGTGTAAAGTGTGCAGAACACATTCTTTAATCACAAAGGCATCATATTGAAATTAATAACAAAAGATCAATAATAAAAATTAACTACTTAGAAACATGTATTTTCCTGTATAACTTCTGGACCAAAGTAAAACTATTAACTTTATAAAATATGAGAAATTCATGACCTCATTGTTTATTATTTAGCAACAAGTCATAGATATAAGTTAACTAAAGTACCGTTCAATAAAACCTAATAAAGGAACATTAAAATATACCAAAGAGCTATAGGAGAAAGGTATAGGAGAAATAGAGAAAAAAGGAGAAAATAATAAACCAAAAGCAGTGAAGAGAAAAGTTTATTTTTGAAACAACACATAAAGCATATGAGAGGAACTCTGATTAATAATCATAGAAGAAATGCGAAGATTACGTTAGAGGAGTGGTCTCTCAAACATATTAAACTCAGGAATGTATGAGCAAGGCCTGTGAAATGTTCTAGACACACAAACTGTGCTATCTTCCTTAGTTAAGTTGTTTTGCTTGAAGTAAAAAACCAACCAAAAACTTCTAAGCTTAAAGAACTAAGGCACTTCATTGGTTCATTTCACTGCATCCTTTAAAGATACATCATGAAGGGCCGGGCGCGGTGGCTCACGCCTGTAATCCCAGCACTTTGGGAGGCCGAGGCGGGTGGATCATGAGGTCAGGAGATCGAGACCATCCTGGCTAACAAGGTGAAACCCCGTCTCTACTAAAAATACAAAAAATTAGCCGGGCGCGGTGGCAGGCGCCTGTAGTCCCAGCTACTCGGGAGGCTGAGGCAGGAGAATGGCGTGAACCCGGGAAGCGGAGCTTGCAGTGAGCCGAGATTGCGCCACTGCAGTCCGCAGTCCGACCTGGGCGACAGAGCGAGACTCCGTCTCAAAAAAAGAAAAAAAAAAAAAAAAAAAAAAAGATACATCATGAAGAATTTACTGTGAAATCACACGATGCCAAGCATTAAATTTTTAAAACATGAGGGGGAATAAATGAAAAAATTGGGGAGGGACCTCCTCTTTTGGCTTTGGAGCCCTCTCTGACCCCCTGTCTCTGTACAGGGAAGCTTCTTCCTTCTGCCTTCTCTTGTCTTTCTTGCCTATTAAACTCTCTGCTCCTTAAAATCACACACACACAAAAATTGTGAAGAATATGGTCATTTTTGAAGCTGGGACCAAATGATGGATTCATTGTATTTCAGTTTACTGTATTCCCCTATTTTTGTATTCAGTTTACTTGTATTCCCCTACTTTTCCATATGTTTGAAAATTTCCATAATAAAAAAAGTTTTAAAAACCCCCACAAAACCACATGGTTAAGAACAGAGAGAGGGGTAGTTACTATCACCAGAGAAAGGGTGAATAATAGAACAGACCTCCTCTGCACAGTTAACTGTTATTAGACAGTAATAGGAAATTACATTTTGAATTCTTTTTCTATAGCTAGTGTATTCATACTATAAGTACTTGAAAAAGATGTAGAAAAATAAAAATGATAAATAAGTAATACTTAAGAATTTAAATCTTAAGGTTTTCAAAGAGGAATTAAAACATATAATGCCATCATAACAAAATTAAATTTTTTCTAGGATTTTAAGGATGGTGCAATATCAGAAAATCTATTAATATAATTTATCTCATCAATAGGTCAAAGGAGAAAAAATTAGCTCTAGAGATGCTGAAGCGGCATTTGCAAAGTCAGCTTCCAATCTGCACAGAACCTCCCAGGAAGCTGTGAACAGCAAGTTACTTTGGTAGCATAAACAGTGTGCTTCAGAATCCAATTGCCGAACATCGACTTAACAGAAAAACACTACAAGTTTTTCCAATGAAATTTGGAATAAGACATAGGATGCCTACTATCTATGTTGCTTTTTTCTTTTTTGGAAATTCTAGTCAATGTAATGAGACAAAGAAAAAGGAGGAAGGAAGAAGAAAGGAAAAACAGTTTTAAATAATAGAACAGAGATGATCATATGATTCCCTTCCTGGAAAAACTAAGAGAACCAATTGACTGGTTATGTAATCTTGGAATGCAAGAGGAATTTCTAAGTGTATTCTCAGAGGCAGAAATGTAGAAGGTTAAGATTGCCATATGATAAATTAAGAAAAATTTAAAACAAAATGGTCGTAAATCCACCAGACAGAAAAATGAAAGTTAAATAACAAACTAGGGAAATATATGTGTAGCACATATGCTAAAAAAGGACTAAGATTTATATTTAAAATGTCTTTTAATATATTTAAAATATTAAAAAGTTGTCAGTATTCTTCATCTTTCATCTCCTCTCTAATTCCATGATCCCGGTCTATCTCAGAACTCCTTACTTTTAATATATTTAAAAGATCTCTTACAAATCAAGGACACAAAACCATATACCTTTATAAAAATGAGTTAAGATTGGGAGGCCGAGGCGGGCTGATTACAAGGTCAGGAGTTTGAGACCAGCCTGGCCAACATGGTGAAACCCCATCTGTACGAAAGATACAAAAAATTAGCTGGGTGTGGTGGCGTGCACGTGTAATTCCAGCTACTTGGGAGGCTGAGTCAGGAGAATCTCTTAAACTCGGAAGGTGGAGGTTGCAGTGACCCGAGATTGCACCACTGCACTCCAGCCTGGGTGACAGGGTGAGACTCCATCTAAAAAAAAAAAAAAAGAAAAAAAAGAATTAAGAATAGAATGTAAAAGTATAATTAACAAAGAAAGAAAATGACCTACATGTGAATAAATATTGTACTGCTCTAGTGATCAAAGGGGTGTACCTTAAAACAGGATGTGTGTCTCACCTCCTATTGAACTAGTAAATACTTACAGCTATTTTTGATGAATTGTTACATATTTTTAAGATAATTTGTCAACATGTCTCAAAAGTCTTAAAAGAAATATTCACTCTTTGATCCAGTACGTATGCTACTATAAATTTGTCCTAAGGAAATTATCAATTAAGTATGCAGATGTATGTGTAAAGATTGTTAATTAAAGCAAAACATGCACAAAACAGGGATTAGTTAAATAAGTTATGGGGCATTTTTCAATGCAAAATTATGCAGTAATTGATGTAGAAGAGGTAAATCTATATTTATTAATATGAAAAAGGTTCTTATGATATTACTGAATGAGAAAAGACAGGTTACCAAACATCTGTGTGTGTGTTTGTGTGTGTGTGTGTGTGTGTGTGTGTGGTTGCAAAAAAAAAAAAAACATGCTAACCTGAATAGTCAAAACAAAGAAAAAAAGGAATTTATTTTAACAAAACAAAGAGATCTCAAGGATCCCAAGGCTACTTCTTATGAGAAATGTCCCAAGAAAAGTCTCACCCACGTATTAAAAAGTTGTCAGTATTCTTCATCTTTCATTTCTCTCTCTGTTTAATTCCATGATCCATGTGGTGGGTTATGTCTATCCCAGAACTCCCAACTTTATGTATTACAGTCCAGCTATATCTAGACACTGCTTGGCATTCTGTAAATTCCAGCTTCAAATTCCTAGAGAGACTTGGACCAAGAATATACACATATATGATGTCTATCCTTAGTGTATGAAATATGGCCAAGGAAATAGATTATGTCATTTCAAGTGTTGCTGCCAGGAATAGGTTTGGGGATTTGATGCTGTTACTGGAAAAAAAGGGAATGCGTAGAGCTGGGCACAAATCCAACAGGTGTCATGAAAATATGGAAATATATTCATTTCAGTTGAATCACCTATGGGTCTTCATTCAATAATTAGAAGTATGACATCTTCCCAAAATTTGAAAAGCAATTTAAATGTAAATGGCATACATTTCTTAAACTTTCTTCTGTTCTCTCATTCTCTGTCTGCCTCTCTCTCTGTCACCTCTACTCAAAGCATTACTGGGTCTTTCCAGATCACCTAAAGTGTCACACCACAGTCTTTACTGGACTGGTCTTTTCTCTTTTCCTTCCACATTCCAGATCTATTTTGTTATGCTATGTTCTTTTCTCTGTAGCTTATTCAAGCCAACCTTGCTTCCTCTTGTATCTCCCCATCCCCTACAACCTCATTCTGGACAGTAAACAACCAAGGCACTCTGCTGTCAGCCATGGGATTCCCAGCCAGCACAGAACTGACGATGCTGTTTTTTTTTCCTTATCACATATAATTCACTTACATGTATGGAAAAAAGGCTGAAAGATATAAAGTCTTAATATCATTTATTACCAGAAGGTGAAATTATGGATGATTTTTAAAGGTATTATATTTTCTCATTTTTTATTAGTTGTAAATAAAGAAGTAAAGATGCATGATATGGAAAATAAACATATAGTTACTTTTCTTGTGCCAAAGATTCTCATTGATATTGCTAACCTATTTTTATCTTAGCACTTTTATCCCAAGCATATTAAAGCCTCCAAGTCAAATACTTCATTTTCTATAATGCCCTAGCAAAACACTTTACGTATAGTACTAATACCTTTTTCAAATGAACAACTAAATACACAAAGTAAAATTAATTTTGTAGTTTTAACAACAATCAAAACAGAAAAATCTATAAAATCATGTAACCAAGGCTAATATTTTTTCAAATCACAAAAAGACCTAGTGTAGCCATTATACCAAATTGCCTCCTACCAAGAAGTAACTGCATCATTTTGCAACATGTTGACAAAAATTAATATCCTTTGCTCAGCAGGAGTTGAATAAATATTTAACAAAATTCATTAAGTTATTATATAATGATCTATTCTATACTTTGCACTACATATGTACACTATGTATATATGCACACTATAATAGTATACACTGATATACTATATGTAGTGTATTTGTATATATAGTTAGTATATGTATATAGTATATGTGTATACTCTTTATAGTATATATGTATATACTGTAGTACTGTACATACTATAGTACATGTATATTATATATACACATATGTGTATACTACAGAGATAGTATATACGATACATATATACTATATATATGTGTATGTATACTACATATAGTGTATATAGATAGTATACATATATGTGTATATTCTATATTATATATGGCATATGTATATATATGTATGCTATAGTATATAGTGCTATATGTGTATATGTGTACAGTACACTATGTATGTGTACTATATATAATACATATACATATACGGTACACATACACATATAGTACATATACATACATAGTATATATGTACTATAGTATGTACAGTACTATAGTGATGTAATGTCCTGAGCTAGAAGGTATCTACTTACAGTGGAGTTTTGTTGTTACTTATTGCTAAGAGCCAACTTTCTTATTTTGTTTTAGCCTTTACTTTCAATCAACTTAATCTTGTGAGAAACCCTGCAGGACTTGAGACTTGAGAATTTCCCACTGTGGGAACATATACACCATGGAATACCATGCAGCCAGAAAAACAATAAAATCATGTCCTTTGCAGCACCATGGATGCAGCATTATCCTAAGTGAATTAATGCAGGAGTGGAAAACCTAGTAACACATATTTTCACTTATAAGTGGGAGCCAGACATTGAGTACATATGAACATAAAAATGGGAATAATAGACACTGGGGACTATAAGAGTGGGGAGAGGGAGAAGCAAGGTTTGAAAAACTACCTGGCTGGGGGCAGTGGCTCATGCCTGTATTCCCAGTACTTCGGGAGGCCGAGGTGGGCGGATCACTTGAGGTCAGGAGTTCGAGACCAACCTGGCCAACATAGTGAAATCCCTTCTCCACTAAAAATACAAAAATTAGTTGGGCATGGTGGCGGGTGCCTGTATTCCTAGCTACTCCGGAGGCTAAGGCAGGAGAATTGCTTGAACTCAGGAGGCGGAGGTTGTAGTGAGCTGAGACCGCATCACTGCACCCAAGCCTGGGCAACAGAGTGAGACTCTGTCTCAAAAAAAAAAAAAAAAAAAGGAAAGAAAGGAAACCTATCTATTAGGTATTCAGTACTATGCTTACTTCCTGGGTGATGGGATAATTCATACCTCAAACCTCAGCATCACACAATATATGCCCATGTAACAAATTTGCACATGTACCCCCTGAATCTAAACTAAAAGTTGAAAAAAAAAAAGAATTACCCACTGTGGTATTTGCATGTCATTGTCCCTGGCAGCTGTCCTTCCCCACCTTGCCTTCACTTGAATTTATCCAATGACTATTTCTCTTCACTTCTCTTGATGAAACCAAGCTGCCCAAGTAATGACTGCTAAGATGCAAGAATAATTTGTGCTTGCTGACTTTGGTGATGCTCTTTTGCCAGAATCTTATGAAACATTCCACTCTCCTCTCCAAGAAGGAGCACTTCTTGGGAAACTTCTCCTACCAGACATTGATGAATAGAGGATTAGGTTGATAGTGCTGTGGTAGATTTTTCTTCCAAAATATGAATAATGATTAATAATATTAGGGGAATAAAGTTAAAACAGAACATTGTTACAAAGTTTGTCAATGCAGCAAGGATGCTGATTTCAGGGGGTGAGTGTTAGAATAGTAGAGTATGGTTCAGTGTGGCAATTATATTGTTATTTTCAATATGTCTATACCTCATGCAAAATGTAAGGCTACATACTTACCAGCAAAAAATCACTCACAACCTATCTCCCACAGCTGTTGGTAGCAACCATGGCACCTATCTACCAATCAGCAGAACTCCGGTCAAAAGACAGGTGTTCTAGTCTGCCCCGAACGTTCATGCATTTGGACCCTGTTAATAGACTAAATGAATTGAATATTATTTTCAAAGCCTATTATTTAATTTTCCAAAGGTACAGAAAGCATCTATTTGTTAATTATCCAAAATATCCATATCTTAAGTGATATTGAAATGAAGACTTAAGTATCCTTATATATATTGAGAAAAATGATCTAATTACTGTGTTTTTGTAAGATAAGGAGAGGCTGACTTTTCCACCTGTGAAATTTCACAAGGCTCTTTTCCTATAGAATTTTGCCTGCCCTGCTTTATAGATGCCAACCGACTGGGAATTATTCTTGAAATTGTACAAGACATCCCTTAAATTATAGAAAATTTATTGTCTACTATTATATCAGAGAATAACATATTCTTAGTACTATTCAATGGAATTTAGGTTTTTAGGAAATTTTGCTAACCCTGAGAATGGCAAAATAATAGATTCTTCTGTAACTCTACAAGGCCACAGGAATAGGTGCTGTGACTATGAACTCACATCATACAACTGGACTCTTCATTGAGTCAGAGTTATAGAAAATGAAAGGTAATTAACTGAAATATTTCAATTTGTCTAATATTTTCTTAACGTTTCTGCTTTGAGGGCTACAGAAGAAATGGAAAGTCTTTGTCTCGGAGGATTTGTAGTTCATAAAGGGATGTGTTGGGGGAGTTAGAATATGGTGAACTGTGTTGTTTTGATAATGGTGATTAAAAGGACAATTGAATAAATAACTTGAATATGAAGAAGAATGGGCTAAAGGCTCTAAATACGGTTGATTCCTTACAGGAAGAAGTTATAACATCCGGTTGTGTTGCAGGACAGGTGAGCCCCCAAAATGGGGCTTAGCTCAAGTTTTTGGCCTTGCTCAGGAAGGAATTCAAGAGTGAGCCGGTGGTAGAAGAAAACAGCTTTATTGAGGCATCAGCGGTGTTCCAGTTCCGTGACTGCCCCTGTGGAGCAGGGCTGCCCCATAGGCAACGTGCAGAGAGTAGCAGCTTAGGGGCAGTTTGGCAGTCATGTTAATACCCACTTCATGCTAATGAAAAGGTGTGTTGTTCAGGAAATAGCTAGAAAATAGGCAGTAACTTTTGGGTGTTGCCATGGTGATGGTAAACTGTCATGGCGCTGGTAGGTGTGTCTTATGGAAAGGTGTTTTTTGTGCCTCTTCCAGGTTTTGGCCAGTCTTCAATCTGTTCCAGAGTCAAGCCCCACCTACCTTCTACCTCAGCTGGGAAGATCAGTAAAGCTTCCATGGTTGCAATGCATGGGTGGGGGGTTGATATTTGAAGGTTTCCCAGGATATAAACTCCCCACACCCTATGGTTAAAATAGAATTTGACAAGGCGCTTCATTCGACATTGTATTTCCCATGCAGAGTATCCTGCCTGAACATGGTAGGTGTTAAGAAGCATTTTTTTTAATTGAATAAAAATTCTTTTTGAGGAATTTAGATATTTCAGAAGTTAATTTATAGAAGCCCTAAAACTTCCCATTACCTTATCGTGGTATGGATTTTTAAAATATTTAGGGGAGATGACATTATGTTCCTTTAAATATTACTATTTTGATTTTTGAGCCTTCCTGTTTAAAAATGTTGACCTGTCTTCTTGGTAGTCAGGAATCTTGAAAGCTCAGGCTTCTCCATTTCATTACCTCATAGATTTTGCCAGAAAATGCTACTCTACGAGGAAAGTAGCAGAGCTGAAACTTCAAATAGAATCTCATGAGTCATACACATGTCTGCTAACAGGAGGGAGAACAGGATGGACTCATGAGTAGGGACAGTCATGCAAAGGGAGTTACTTGATTTTTTTTCTTCTCCTCTTAATCAGGAAATAGTCGTTCCTGCTCCGCATTTATTATTTTTTTAAACAATATATTCCTCTGACAAGAAGTTAATGATGAGTCACTTCTAGGAGGCAGAAATTTGATTTTCTAAATACTTAGTTCTTTGTAGTTAGCAGAGATCCAACAGTGACATTTAAAAATTATTCTGTTTCTGTAACTTGGACACTCTTTAAACTAAGAGGACTATGTATGTGGAATGGTGTACACCTACGTGATAATTCATGTCAACCATGCACTTACTACAAAATCTCAAATGCTTCCCTACATAAATCAGTTCTGAGACCCAAGAAGCCAACTCATTAAAATTTACTTGAGATTCCTGTAACCTTTTCTCAGGAAGCAACAGCAGGTAAAAAATGTGCAGCTTTTTAAAAAACAAATGTGTGCAAAACTTCAATTCTAGTCTATAAAAAAATCTTTTTTTTTGTGGGTAGTTGAAAAGCCTGGCAGAGGGTGGGTGGGAAAGTCATGAAAGTTTGGAAGGATGACATAGTAGATTATGGTGAATTAGAAATTTGTCACAGAATATCGATGGAAGAGATGCCGGGTTGAGTCAGATTTTCTCAGTGCCGAGATGATGGTTGAGTTAACAAATTAGGTTCCTTTGAAAATTGCACTAATATTTTTGGCCACTAGGTCGTTAGAATTTGCTTCTCCCCAAACAGTAAGGATAATAGTGAGTCAGTCTGCATATGCTGAAGCTGGTATTATACTATTTATTGCTAGTGACATTGTCAATGTCTGGATGGCTGCTGTTTGCAGGAATCTCATGCCATTCCCTTGCTTGATAACTACCAAGGGCTCTGTATCAACTACAGAATACAACCAAATCCCTTAGCATGATGTGCAAGGCCCTCTACCATCTGATATGCTGCTTAGATTTTAGTATCTCGTGCTAGTACCCATCTGGGTCCCATGTCAAGTTTCAGACACATCTCTTATATCTTCAAGAGTTCTCCATTCTTGCACTCACCACAGTAAAGACATATTTATAAGTCAATCTCCTTGGGGGCAGGGACTATGGTTTATTAATCTTTGTAGTAATCGCATCTGGTACATGGAGTGCTATAGATGTTTGTTAAATTAATAAGTATATGTTCTATCTTCTTCTCTCTTTTTTTTTTTTTTTTTGAGACGAAGTTTCACTCTTGTTGCCCAGGCTGGAGTGCAATGGTATGATCCCGGCTCACCACAACTTCTGCCTCCCAGGTTCAAGCAATTCTTCTGCCTCAACCTCCCAAGTAGCTGGGATTACAGGCATGTGCCACCATGCCCGGCTAATTTATGTATTTTTGGTAGAGACGTGGTTTCTCCATGTTGGTCAGGCTGGTCTCGAACTCCTGATCTCAGGTGATCCGCCCGCCTCAGCCTCCGAAAGTGCTGGGATTACAGGTGTGAGCCACTGCACCTGGCCATGTTCTATCTTCTTTTAATATATAGCATAACTACCAACTAAGTAACACACTTGGCATGCAGTAGGCAGAATTCTAGAGAAGACCCCAATAGTCCTTACCTTTGTGTAATTCTATTCCATTTGAGTGCCGTGGAAAATATGCATATGATGAGATACCACTCCCATGATTATAAATTCTATTATATTATACGGCAAAAAGGGAGAAAATCTAATTACATGAACCCCTTTAAAAGCCAAGTTTTAATGGACTGGTGAAACGAATCAGGGATCCAAAGCTTGGAAAGGGATTTGATGCATCTTTGCTGGTTTCAAAGATGGATGGGACCACTCCCAGCTCCTAGAGGCCAAGGAATGCAGGTGGCCTCTAGGAGCTGAGAGTGGCTTCCAGCTGATAGCCAGCAAGGAAACGGGGACCTCCACTTCTGCCAACAATCTGGATGAGTTTAGACGTGGATTCTTCCATATACTCCAAATAATAGACCAACCGGCTGATACCGTGGTTTCGGTACTGGGAGACCCTATGAAAAGAATCCAGCCATGAATGAGTCAGGTCATCCTAGAGTTCTTACTTACCTACCTGGCTGTGATATAACAAATTAATATTGCTTAAAGCCACAACGTTTGTAGCAATTTGCTTTGTAGCAATGAACAACTGGTATACCTAGTGTGCAACTTCATCAGATAAATTGTGTGTGTGTGATGTGTGTGTGTGTATATATATATTCTGCTGTTTTTGTTTCATTAATAGATAATAGGTGCTCTCAAATCAAATTGATGCTTGCTAATTAAATCAGAGTACTTAGTCTAAGGTGGTTTGTTCATTTCAAACAATGTAGCGAACTGTTATTGGGTATCTGCCATGTCTCATGTACTATGCTGTGTCCTGGCTGAAATTCAATCCTGAATATAATATACACAAAATAGCTTGATGTTCTGGATCACAATGGCTGAGACATAATTGCAGACACAAACCTTATGTCAAAGAAGTGAATATAATAGTCTTAGAGTTTGAATATTTAGGGGTTTTCTGCTATAACAAGTAAATTTACTTTCTAATAAATATTCCAATTTTATGTTTGGTTCTTTGTCAAATATACCTGACATTTTTGGATAATATCCTTTTTCTCTTATGTATTTTTAGGTACTTTGCCCCAGAAGAATGTTTGCTAACTTGTATTTAGCTTTTCTAGTGCTTTAGTGTTGGTGTCGTCAGGTTAATTTGTCAGTCATATGGCTAGAAATTAAATTCTTTAGGTTGTTTGGAATTGCTAAAGTAACTATATGGTATGTAAGGCATTCTTCTATTGAAGTAATACATATACCTTAAAGAATTGTACTTTTGCAGCCTGAAAACATAAACAAATTCAAAATGCTGATGTAAAACCTCCTTAATGCCCTTAAACCAGAGATGGTAGACAGCAGTATAATGATGATTGTCCATGATTATGGTCAATTTTTCAAGTATTTATCCAGAGTTTTACATATGAAACAAAAGCTCAACATCTCTGATCATTAGAGAAATGCAAATCAAACCACAGTGAAATACCATCTCATGCCAGTCAGAATTCCTATTATTAAAAAGTCAAAACTAACAGATGCGGGTGAGGTTGTAGAGAAAAAGGAACACTTTTACACTGTTGGTGGGAGTGCAAATTAGTTCAACCATTATGGAAGACAGTGTGACAATTCCTCAAAGACCTGGAGGTAGAAATATCATTTGACCCAGGAATCCCATTACTGGGTATATAATACCCTAAGCAATATAAATCATTCTATTATGAAGATACATGCCCATGCATGTTCACTGCGGCACTATTCACAATAGCAAAGACATGGAATCAACCTAAATACCCATCAATGATAGACTGGATAAAGAAAATATGGTACATATACATCATGGAATACTATGCAGCCATAAAAAGGAATGAGATCATGTCCTTTGCAGGGACATGGATGGAGCTAGAAGCCATTATCCTCAGCAAACTAATGTAGGGATAGAAAAACAAACACCACATATTCTCACTGATAAGTGGGAGTTGAACCATGAGAACACATGGACATATGGCAGGGAACAACACACACTGGGGCCTGCTGCAGTGTGGAGGGGGGAAGAGCATTAGGAAGAATAGCTAATGGATGCTGGACTTAATACCTAGGTGATGGGATAATCTATGCAGCAAACCACCATGGCACATGTTTACCTTTGTAACAAACCTGCACATCATGCACATGTAACCCCAAACTCAAAAGGTGAAGAAAAAAAGAAGAAAAACAGTTTTAGTGTATGCTGAATTATGACAGATCCCATTGCACATACAGAAGACTAAAATAAAGTATCTGAACATGGTAGCTGAGGAGCCAAGCACTACTTTAATATATACAGAGCTGGCCACAGAGTAGGCTAGCCAGGCAACTGCTGTGTCTCAGTCTGGAGGGCATGCCAAATATCAGTAGAAAAATAACAAGACCGAGAAGATCCTATAAACAAATCATTTCTGAGAGTATGCACTATGTGTGTCTGGAATGAATGTTTTCAAGTAGCTTCTTGAGGGTGAGGAAGAGGGTGGTGAGACCCTTAGAGATACGCCATACTGTAGGGCTTGTGTTTTAGGGAGTGAAGTAGGAAGGTCTTCGAAACAGTAGGGTAGTGACTGTGCTCTGTGGTCCCTGCCCTATGTGCTTCCTCATACCCCATGAATCTCTTCTGGATTAACATGTAACTAACATGAATTAGAAAGGTACCAAATTATTAACCTTCCAGGGGGTCCTACACATGTATTGGCTCAGAAATTGACAAGAAAACAGTAAATACAACATGACATAGAGGAGCAAGTCTAAAACATAATGAATATGAAGGATTTAGAGAGTTAAGACATGGTAGGTGGTAGCTGCACAGTACAGTAGATGTGGAGACTTGAGGTAGACCCTGAAAAGAGAGGAGAAGTTACATTTTCCTGTAGGGGTGATTTTTTTTTTTCAGGGAGACCCATGGCAGAGCGGGGAACAATGAGGAGGAACCCTCGCTGGAATCCAGGCTTTGGACAGGAATGTGAGCAGGTGAGTCAAGACCAGCTGGCGGAGAGATTAAATTCCTGCCAGAGAGAGATTTCAGAGTTGATCTAACAGACAATAGGGAGTGATTTGCTTTTGTTAAACAGGTGGTGCTGATTAATTGAGGGTACCCAGGAGTCAATCAGCAAGTTAGCAGCTGAAGAAGTTTAGTGTACTGAAGAGTATTTCCTTTGGAGAAATGCTCCCAAAGTGGTCCAATAAGAACCACTCGGGGCCAATTGTTTCAACTGAAGATTGCTAAGCCGCTCTTGCAGTGCTCATTTCCATGGGTTTGGGATGAAAGCAGTATTTCTACAGGCTCACAGAGTAAGTCTTATTTACACATAGTTCTTTTATAGGTAGTTAGAAAATGTATTTTATAACAGACTTAGTGTTTGCCATCTGGGGACTTTTGGTCAGATTAGACAGAAAAGAACCCTAATCTTGGTGAGGAAAGCAAGAACTTGAGTGAGCTTCATTTGAACAATCTAACATTTTCCATTTAATGGCTTTAAAGGAATCCCCCAACTTTTGGAGTGTTTTGTATTATTAATTCGTTTCTGAATTGCAGTATTTATAAAAAGACTTGTGCAGCTTAAAATAAGACATTCCACAAAACTGCCAATATTACTAAATGGTTTCTAATGAAATATCCAGTCTGTCCAACCACTGTATTTTGGTATCAACGGAGGATTTTTCTCCTTTTGACCAGTAGAGGGGGCTATAACTCTTGATATAAATAGCTGTTTTTCCTAGACAGAAATTACATCACCGAGCCGTACTGTTGAACTATTGTACCCTTGAATTTACAATTAATATACTAGAACTATAATGTGGTGCATATTTTTTTTTTTTTTTTTGAGACGGAGTCTCGCTCTGTCGCCCAGGCCGGACTGCGGACTGCAGTGGCGCAATCTCGGCTCACTGCAAGCTCCGCTTCCCGGGTTCACGCCATTCTCCTGCCTCAGCCTCCCGAGTAGCTGGGACTACAGGCGCCCGGCATATTTTTCATACTTTATCACTTTAGACTTACCTACATTATTTATGGTACCGCTTGTTTTATATCTCCCAGTATAAACTTCTTTGCCAGCCCAAATGGACCACAATTATGAGGATAAATGTGGCTCTTTTCTTGAGTCCAACATTACTTCTGCCTTCCCCCTTTTCTGGAACTCCAGTGGTTACCATTTGTCTGAATATAACTTGCTTGCTTGAAACCCAGTTCAGAAACAACTCTTTAATAAATCCTTCTCTTATCTTCCACTTCTCAATTTGCATAGCATGATTAAACTACTATTTTATTGATGATGATTGATTGATTGATTGAAAGGGAGTCTCACTCTGTCACCCAGGATGGAGTGCAGTAGCGCAATCTCGGCTCACTGCAACCTCCGCCTCCCGGGTTCAAGCAATTCTCCTGCCTCAGCCTCCAGAGTAGTTGGGATTACAGGCATGAGCCACCACGCTCAGCTAATTTTTGTATTTTTAGTAGAGATAGCGTTTCACCACGTTGGCCAGGCTGGTCTCGAACTCCTGACTTCAAGTAATCTGCTCACCTGGGCCTCCCAAAGTGCTGGGATTACAGGTGTGAGCCACCACGCCTAGCTTAAGCTCCTATTTTCTAGTGCTTAATACAACTGTTTATTTTATCTTTATTAAATACATCATGATTTTTATTATTCTTCTATTAGATCATAACTAAATTTCCAGAAAAAATATGAAATGCCCTGTTAAGTTTGAATTTCAGATGAACTAAATTTTTTTTGCTGTTGTTGTTTGTTTGTTTGAGACAGTCTTGCTCTGTTGCCCAGACTGGAGTGCAGTGGCACAATCTTGGCTCCTTGCAAGCTCCACCTCCCGGGTTCATGCCACTAAATGTTTTTTAGTATAACTAAATCCCATAAAATATTTGAAACATGCTGACACTAAAAAGAATTTATCTAGAATTCACATTAACCAAAAATTTAATATTTTTATTTGCTAAACCTGGCAACCTTAATTATAAACACTTTGATTGTTGAGTCTTTGTCTTGTTCACATTCATGACGACAGAGCATAGTGTCAATTTATAGTAGTTGCTCAATAAATGAAAGGGTCAAGATGTAATATGTGGCCAAGTGATTGTAGACTGAGAATGAGCATTATTACTTTGAATAACTGCTTTTAAATGATCTGCACTAGTATTACATTAATGTGTTCACAGTGAATTATTATTCATTCTAAAAAAGAAATAGTTGTAAGGAAAAACTTTGTGCTAAGTAGAAATTTAAGGATTTAAAAATAAAAATTGGAGGGAACATTTGAAAGATATTTAAGTGTCTTAAAATATCTCTTTGAGTTGTTAAGAAACATGATGTGATTAAGAAAAGTCTCCTGCCAAATGAATCCCTTACGAGAAAAAAATGTATGATTTTAAAAGATGCATTATGTGTTGAATCAAGACATAAATTATAAAGAGATGGTACCAGTACTATTCATTGTTTAGAATAATGAGCTTGTTCCCATACTTGGACTTGAAATGGAAAGAAAAAGTGCTGTACAGGTGCTATACAATCAGGGGTAGTACCCTGATTGAATAAATGTATTTTGTATACTTAATCTAAAATATTTATAAGTCTAGCTACCTTAAACCAAATCTTGGGCATCTCTCCACAAGTCGCTGAGGCATTGGGAAAGATTTAGAAAAGAACAAACATTTATAATTAACCTCTATCAACAGGTAAATTCTGCACAGTCTGTAAAACCTTCCTCTGACAGTTAGAAGTCTTATGTTGGGTGATCTTATGACCAAGTTCCATTATAGTCAGCATGACAAGACATTGGTATGTAGAGAGATGAAATTATACTGACATAGCCAATTTAAAAGAATAGCAGTCTAAAGCAGAGGATACACACACATTTGCACACACATACACATCTGTGTGCACATGCACACACACCAGGATAATCACAGGCGACTGAAAGTTGAAAGCAATTTGAATCTCATTAGCAACAAGGAAATACAATTTATAACAGCGAGATACAATTCTTCACCTATTTGCTAAAATAAAAAAAAAGCTACTACTCAATACTGGCAGCACATCACACACTGTTGGTGGGAGTAAAAATTGGTATACTCCTTCTAGAAAGTATCTTGGTTTTTTATATATATATATATATATGTATTACAGACGTTAAAAACTTCATATACTTTACCTAGTAAGAGGCTTTTTATAAATTCTCAGGAAGGAAACATACAGAAACTCATATAAAGGAATATGTGCAGATAATCTCATTACATTTGGAGGAAGGAGGGGATATTCATCGTTCTTGGTGGCAAGCTAGAGCAGCTCCCTTTGCTGGTCCGCTTCTTGGGGGACAGGCACTATTGGCCCAAGATTTGCTTTATCACATAGGACCAACCTTTTATTTCTGGCCCTGCTATTGTCTCTTGTTGAGACCTCTCTCCCCCCGCCACCACCCTAATCCCCAGCTCTCTGCACAGAAGGCCTTATGACGTCCTAGTGTTTTGCAAAAGAGTAGAGTTGGAGGCCTTGCTCTGCTGTTATTCCTGAGGCCTGGAAAGACAGGCCTGTTTACATCCACCCCTTTTCCAGGTACATTTCTGGAATTTGTCATTTTCATGTAAATATTTAAATGTTTAATGAAAACAAGTGGCTGTATAGTTGGCTATTAATATTTATTAAATAATATTTCCTTAATGATTTGAAGTGCTACCTTTAACTTATAATGAGATCACCATTTGGGGAACATTTTCTACTCTCAATTTGTTCCACTGATGCTTCTGTATATTCCCTCCATGGGCTTTTAAATTTTGTAAATATGTAAGGGTAACTTTTCATATCATTCTACTTCTTGTGTTGGGTTTGTATCTAACTCTAGAATGAGTCAATGGGTTCAAGGTCAAATGATCCCATTGTTCACATGGCCTTATCTGCTGTGAAGAAAAGGAGTCACAAAAAGTCTGGGATTAAGTTCCTTTTCTCTGTGTTCCATAGCAGCCTCACTGCTTTGCTTTATTGAATCTTCCTATTATCTCTACACTAGATTGTGTCTTAAGGCCAGGACATACCCATCCCTGATTCCTCTGTGCCTGGCTTAGAACTGGTACCTTGTCCAAGCTTCTGATTGTACAGATGTCTTACTCAGTCTAGGCTGCTATAACAGAATGCAATCGAGATAGATGTGAGCTTTCAAGATTAAGAACTACATCTCCATCTATTTTGTTTGTTTTGTTTGTTTTTGAGTCTGGGTCTCTCTCTGTCACCCAGGCTGGAGTGCAATGGTGCAATCTTCGGCTCACTGCAACCTCTGCCCCCTGGGTTCAAGCAATTCTCCTGCCTCAGCCTCCCAAGTAGCTGGGATTACAGGCTCCTGCCACCATGCCCAGCTAGTTTCTGTATTTTTAGTAGAGATGGGGTTTCACCATATTGGCCAGGCTGGTCTCTTGGTCAGGCTGGTCCTGAACTCTTGACCTCGTGATCCGCCCACCTTGGCCTCCCAAAGTGCTGGGATTACACGCGTGAGCCACCGCACCCAGCCCATTTCCATCTATTAATATATTCATCTCTGCAGTGAATCTGGAGAAGCACAAAGGGCTGTGGAAAAAGTAGACATTGGGACAGATTTTCCCAGTGATCAGGACTGCTTGCCGATGCTTCTGATTATCCTTCCTCTGTTAGTGTGTTGGTCTAAGGAAGGCTGTAATTAAAGCTGTAGGCTTTCAAGTTAGAATTAGTTTTTCTATAATTATATTTTGTTCTCTGGGAACGAGGTCCACTCCGTCCCTTGCCAGCCATATCATGTATGTGTTATCTAACTTACAGACATTCAAATTTGAAATGCATTTTCAAGAACAATTGTTACAGTGACCGATCTTCCAATTGAAACAAAATTTGGGACAATGAATCCTATATTCAATTGACTTTTAGGATTCAATATCTTTTCCCTGTGGCCTCCTGTTTTCTAAAAGTAAATCTTCAAAACAGTATTCTGCAATTTCATAGACCTTTTGGTATTGCAACCACTTTCAGTATGCTTCCAATATATTTAATTAATTCTTTCTACTTTATTACAATAGAATAATATATTTCTGCATTATTCCTTATGGTCATTAAAAATTTAAAATATCAGGTATCTGGTTCTTATCTGTTCAAAATGAATCCAGATGTTCACGTACTGCCCGGGTGCCAGATTTTTTTTTCCATCATAGGCTTAACTTTGGAGAATAAATTTGGAACAATTCTGTGGGGACTGTTGGTCACAGATGGCTGAGTAATCATAAATCCTTGGGTGGAGATAGAGTCCTTCTGGATTGCAGCGCTGAAACTGATTTTCATAATTTAAAATACTCAACCCTGCATCATCCACGTAAACAAAAGGTGTCTCTTGTTTAAGTGTTTCTTTTTTAAAAAAGTGACATGTAATTAGCTTCTAACACCTTAATTTCATGTTTACTCTTAACTTTATTTTTTGGCTTCTCTTCCAGAAATTTGTTCCTACCCTCCAGGTATAAAAGGGTTCAGTTTCTTTCAGTTAAAAAGAAAAAATCCCTCTTCTTGCTGGAAACTTTTGCTTGTATCTTGAGCTGAGTTATAACACACTTTCTCTTCTCATCACCCTTGTCACACAGCATTATAATAATCGGTGCATATATGTGAGCTCCTTCAAGGCAGAGATTGTCTCTTATCAATAGCTGCAACTCCATCGCTTAGCAGAGCGTCTGGTATGTAACAGGTGCTAAGTGAAAAATGAAGGATGGTCTCTTAAGTCAGAGGTTATATTGCAACATGTTGATTGTCCAGTAAAGGATAAAGTAAGGCTTTAGTAAGTTCTTTAGTCATTTTACTTAAAAATGTTTTAACTATTTATTTTACAAGCAGAAGGAAAGTTATACATTCTTGATTTGCAGAAGAATTTAACATGATTTCTAAGCGCTATTTATTACGTTTAAGAGTTTAAAACATTTTTTTCCTGAGGCTGTTAACTTCATCAATCAAGCCCAAGTAGAATCTGGTGGCACGCTCAAGTTAGGATAATTCGTGAGGGGGCAGAGGTGTTTTGTAAGGGGACTACGTAAAAGGGGTAGCACGGGAGCCGAGAGAAATTCCGAGATAGTACAGTGCCTTGGGGCTAATATACCAGGTGTGGCCAACCTTAGGACCAAAAGGAAGAGTTGAGATAATGGTATTGGAAATTGAAAGGAGAAAATGGTGTGTTTTGAGAACTGTGCCCTTCTGTGGAGGGACATGACCAGCCTGAGGCAACCAACTATGCTTTCCTCTCTCCCTTTGATGATCTGCTGGGACTCTCTGTTTGCTAACCCAAAAGCAAGCCTGAGGAAAGGAGCACCTATTGCTATGGGCCTTAGGGGTTGACCTCCCAAGCAAGAAACAAGATGGCAGAGGATGGAGAGTCTATGTGAAGGGGAATGGCAGATCTGGGGCACAGTTATGACAGTTTATTATACTGAAAGTATTTTTTCTGTGGAATAGCCATCCTGCTGAAAGAAAGGCACAAAACCAGAAAACAAATGCTCAATGTAGTAGGGTCTGCCTGATTTTTTTTTTTTTTTTTTTTTTTTTTGAGTGCATTTAAAGCAATCCTGGCCTTCAGGAACTGCACTGGGTGGCAAGATATGATAAGCCCAAGAAAGCCTTCGATTATATAATATTAGCCCAAATGTGAGTGAATTGTGTACCATCGATGGCACTGCCTGTGGCCTCAGGTTCACCCTCATATAGAGTTCAAGACCACATTTGCACTAATGAGATAGTTCATCCCATAAGAGAATGCATTTCTCAATGCCCTAAAATGCTTTCCTTTTGCATCAGTCTTTTTTTTTTAATAATGTAGAGAGATTTCTCCAGCTGGATTCACTCTGTGTTGCCTGCAAAATGCAATTTGTTTTCTAAATGCTATATTATCTTCGTCCACCACCTTCAATTTACATTTTAGTAAATGGTACTTTAGTTCTCTGAAAATTCTCTTTATGCTCTATATTGGACTTAAGTAGATGCCAATTTTCACATATCTGGCTAAAAAGAATATTGATGTCTACATAAATTTGAGAATAGAAGACTTTATACGTATTGATTTTACCACACCACAGATATGAAGCATATATTTGATACTTACCTGAAACAGGCATGCTGATATAGCAAAGAAATGCCTTTAAAAATATGTATGCATGGAACAGAAAACTTTTCTTTTCTGACAAACAGGCCAAAGACCTTCAAACAGGAAAGCCAGCCCATTTAGGCAGTAGACTGTTCGCTGAAACCATAGTTTGAAAATCACTAGGCCATGTATAAAAATAGTAGAGTCAAATTGCTACATTATCACAAACATGATGTCTCATAATTGGACAATAAACATCTAAATCTGAAAAATCTAAAGCCCTTTGGAAAGGATTAATTTAGTATAGCCAGCAAGTTAATTGACTTTTTTTTTTTTTCTTTTTCTTTAGAGTTGGGGTCTTGCTTTGTCACTCAGGCTGAGAGCAGTGGCATGATCATAGCTCACTGCAGCCTGGAATTCCTGGGCTCAAATGATCCTCCTGCCTCAACCTCCCAAGGAACTGGGACTACAGATGCACACTACCAGGCCTAATTTTTTTTTTTTTTTTTTTGAGAAATGGGCCCTCACAATGTTACCCAGGCTAATCTTGAACTCCTGACCTCAAGGGATCCTCCTACCTCTGCCTCAAAAAGAGGTAGGATTATAGGCCTTAGCCAACACACCCAGCCTTAATGAACATGTTTTAAGTAAAACTTCCTGCAGTGAGAAGGCACTGTCCCAAAAGCTACTGAGTAGCTTTTGACAGTGTTGGGCTACATTTTATTACAGATAGGACTGACTAGTTTTCATTAAAAATCAACTCATTTAGGTAACAGCACACTTTGACTCAATACATCAATATTTCTGCATGTTTTTTTAAAATAAACAGAATGCCTAACTTAACTAGTTATGAAAACATAAAAATATCTAAGATGAAACTTTTGCAAGGAGAACAAGGTTCAGAATCAACACAGTCCTGACTGAACTGACTGCATTTAGAGAAAAGACAGCATGGTACAATAAGACTCATTTAGAAAGAGGAAATCTGAGATTGAACTTGCTATATTTTTCCATTGAATTGGAGGTGATAGTTCACAGCTTAGGCTGGGGAACCTGACCACCTGCATCTGAATCCCAGCTCAACTCTTTCAGGAGTCACAGGAACTGGAGAAAATTATTTAGCTTTCTTTTTTTTTTTTTTGAGATGGAGTCTTGCTCTGTCCCCAGGCTGGAGTACAGTGGCATGATCTCGGCTCACTGCAACCTGTGCCTCCTGGGTTCAAGCAATTCTCCTGCCTCAGCCTCCCGAGTAGCTGGGACTACAGGTGCGTGCCACCATGCCCGGCTAATTTTTGTATTTTTAGTAGAGATGGGGTTTCACCATGTTGGCCAGACTGGTCTCAAACTCCTGATCTCAAGTGATCTGCCCACCTCAGCATCCCAAAGTGCTGGGATTACAGGAGTGAGCCACCGCACCCAGCCTATTTAGCCCTTCTGTGCTTCAGTTGTCTTATTTGTAAAATAGAGATTCTCATTTAACTACCAAATAGGATTGCAGTGGGCCTTAAAATTACTGTATGTAAAATTCTTTTAATAGTGCTTGGAGTATAGTACTGTTAAGTATTAGTTATCATTAATTATTAAATTGAGTACCACTTTATTGACTGACTTAAGTGACTTTGTGTAGGTTACCTAGTTTCAGTATATTTCAATTTAATTGACATCAAAATACGCTAATGGGTGCCTCACCTAATTCTGAACGTTTTTTGTGACTATATATTTACTCAGCAAACATTTACTGAGCCTCTACTCCATGCCAGGCAATGTGATAAATATTGGGAAAAACATATTGAGTAAGAAAGACAGACTCCCCATTATCATGAAGCTACAGTCAAACAGGCAATGTTGACTCTCTGGTGTGTAGAGCTCATGGTGATATAATTGGGTCTGAGAGTTGAATGACACCCAATCTCCTATCTTATGAATGATTCCAGCTACAAAACCATCTTTGTAAATCTTGTATCTCTCCAAATTGTCAAGGATGTCCTGTCTTATTCTTCAAGTTCTAGTGAGCCCCTCAAAGTTTAAAACTCTTGGTCAATAATCCTGAATTGTATCCAGAGAATAAGAGACACCATAGACACAGCACCTAGAGAAGAGGGTGGGCAACGTGATATTCCACATGTCAATCCTGCCTTCTGCATCCCTGTCTGTGGCCATCGGTGATGACATGAAGCTTACAGTCAAGCAGCTTCGCTGTACCACCATCACCATGACTGTGCCCTACCAAGGCCTTGTTGGGGTCCTCCCTTCAGTGCTCAGAAACGGGACTTGAAGACAGAAGCTCTCCAGGTCCTTGCCTCACTTCTCATTTTTCTTAGGATCCTTCCTAAGTCAATTAATTAAAGGCTATTTTTAATAAATGGAAATGCATTTTGCTTGATTGATTCATTCATTCTTATTTTGGAATCTGTGTCTGTTAACATCACTGGAGCTCCTCTGGGTTTCAATATGTTGTGTAACATTTCTGCTCATGTTCCTTCATGTTTTCATGCCTCCTTTGGTGCTTAGCTATTGTTTAGTTTGTGCCAGTTGTTGCAATTGCAGAATTGTTTATAGAAATAATTCCAGGCCTAGGATGATATCTTCCCTCCTGAGAGGGCTTTACATGTGCCTTTTCCAGGCCTCTGAGAGCTGTAGCAGCCTGGGATCATCTCAAACCAATTTCAGAGACTGCAGTGCTCTGAAGCTGGACTGCGTGCCCTAGGAGGGCCTGTCGGCTTCTGGGTCACGGTTACTTTGGGGATGCCAAACTTTGGGTTTCCATCCTAAAGCAAGCCCCTCCTCCCCAATGTGGGGGAGGGTCCCTACTTAATCCCCATTAACTTTATCCTATTTGCCTGTTACAGTTCTTCTATCCCTCCACTTCTCAGCCATTCTCTCTGCAATCAGTGTCACTTCTACTGGAGAAGTGGCCTCAAAACAAAGGAGGAGGAGGAGGAAGGGGGAAGAAAAGAAGAAATGGAAAAGAAAAGGTATATGAAACAAATTTTGATTATTGAGGGAGTACAGGCTATTTAAAAAATAATAGTGCCAGGGAACCTGGATCAGAAAAAACTGCAAAAAGATTTGTGAATAAAAGTGACAGTTTGGGGTCTGTCTTGAAGCTCATTAAAAAATACTAAAAATCCTTCTCCTCTGTAACAAACTCATTGACCAAACTGTACAGAAAACATGTCTCCAATTTGCAGATGACTGTACTATGAGTTAACTAGGAATTCCTTTGTAAACATTATAATGATGATAAAATGAACTGAGGAGAGGGGATGGGAAGGAAACAAGGGAATAGGGTGGGATGGAAGACTGGGGAATTTTTGGTGACATTGAGACTTTGCTATGGTCTGAATAAGTCCCTTCAACATTCATTTATTCCTAATTACCCTTATGGTGATATTAAGAAGTGGAGCCTTTGGGAGCTGGTAAAATCATGAAGCCTCTACCCTAATGAGTGGGATTAGTGCCTTCATTAAAGGGGTTGAAAAAGATGACTTTGCCCCCTTTCCGCATGTGATAACACAGTGTTTGTCCCTTCCACTGTGGGAGGATGTGGTAAGAAGTGCCATCTTTGAAGCAGACAGACCAACCCTCCCCAGAGACTCAATCTGTTGGACCCTTGATCTTGGACTTTGCAGCCTCTAAACTGTGAGATATAAACTTCTATTATTTGTAAATTACCTCATTTGTAGAAGTTTTTTTAAAAAAATAGCATCAAAGACAATTGCAAACCCAGGTTTTCAGACCCAGAACCTGTGAAGCAACCAGTGTTCTGATTTCTATCACTAAAGATTAACTGTAACTGTTCTAGAACTTATCATAAATGAAATCATAAACTATCTATTCTTTTGTGTCCTCCCCTTTTGCTCATAATGTTTTTGATATTCATCCATGTTGTTGCATATTTCAGTTCATTTTTTTCATTGCTGAATAATATTCAATGATACTAATATACCATAGTTTGTTTCCCCATTCGCCTTTGATAGGTTGTTTCTAGATTTTGGTTATTATGAATAAGGCTGCTCTGATTATTATTATTTTTGTGGTTAAATTTCTAGGAGTAAAATTGCTGGAATATGGGTGGCCAAATGTTTAACTTTATATAAAATTACCAAAGTGATTGTTCCATTTTACACTACCACTGACAATGCATGATCATTCCAATTGTTTTTATCTTCACGTAGAGTGTTGCCAGTCTTTTACATTTTAGCCATTCTGCTGAGTGTGTAGCAGTATCTCGTTGTTTTTTAATTTGTGTTTCCCCAGTTAATCATGATTTTGAGAGCCTTCCGTTTGCTTATTGGCTTTTGGTATAACACTTTTTTGTGTGAAGTGTCTGTTCAAGTCTTGTGCCCGTTTAAAAAATTTGGGTTGTTCGTTTCTTTATTTTTGATTTGAAGGAGTTCTTTAGATGTTCTGGGTATGCGTTCTTTTCCAGATACGTGCATTGAGAGTCAAGTCAAGCACTTCCAGTCAAGGACTTCTCCATTAATTTGTTTTCTTTTCTTTTCCTTTCTCTTTTTCTTTCTTTTTTTTTTCTTTGAAACAGAGTCTCGCTCTGTCTCCCAGGCTGGAGTGCAGTGGTGCGATCTCAGCTCACTGTAGCCTCTGTCTCTTGGATTCATGCCATTCTCCTGCCTCAGCCTCCCGAGTAGCTGGGACTACAGGTGCCTGCCACCACGCCTGGCTAATTTTTTTTTTTGTATTTTTAGTAGAGATGGGGCTTCACCGTGTTACTCAGGATGGCCTTGATCTCCTGACCTCGTGATCCGCCCGCCTCAGCCTCCCAAAGTGCTGGGTGAGCCACCGTGCCTGGCCTCCATTTAATTTCTTAATGGCGTCTTGACAAACAGACATTTTTATTTTTAATGAGGTCTAAATTATCTTTTTGATGGTTAATACTTGTTATTTTCTAAATCTTTGCCCATCCTTGATTGTGAATACATTTTCTTCTGGTAGATTTTTATATTTTTAGATTTATGCCTATAATTCCACTCAAATTAATTTTTGTATATGGAGTGATGGTTATTCTATTCATAGCATGATTTTTTGAAAAGACTTTATTTCCCCCATTGAAATGACATGTGCTCTTGTAGAAAATCAAATGATCCCAAATGCATGGAGATATCTGGTGTATCTATTCTGATTCATCAACCTATTTATCTATTCTTAAGGCAATGTGCAGTCTAGATTAATACCAGTAACTAATTAATACCAGTAACTCTTCTGAAATAAAATAGTTGTTTTTGTCAGGTTTCTCCAAAAAAATCAGAACACAGATATATATTTATTATGAGAATTGGCTCACTAAGTTATAGAGGCTGAGAAGTCCCATTATCCACCATCTGCAAGTTGGAGAGCAAGGAAAGCTCGTGGTATAATTCAGCCTGAGTCCAAGGGCTCAAGAACAAGGAATACCAATGTCAGACATCAGGAGGAGACGGATGTCCCAGCTCAAACAGAGGAAGTTAATTCACCCTTTCTCTGATTTTTTGCTTCTTTAGGTCCTCAACAGATTGAATGATGCTCCCCTGAATTGGTGAGGGTGATCTTCTATACTCAGTGTACTGATTCAAATGCTAATCTCTTTCAGAGACACCTTTGTGTACACACTCAGAAATAATGTTTTACTTATTATCTGGGCACCCCTTAGCCCACTCAAGTTGACAGGTAAAATTAATCATCACAGTAGGGTAATTCCTCCACCTTTGTTTTACTACATTCAGAATATCTTGACTATTCTAGGTGAGATGGTTGGCTGTGTTCCCACCCAAATGTCACCTTGAATTGTAGCTCTCACAATTCCCTCGTGTTGTGGGAGGGATGTGAGGTAATTGAATCATGGGAGTGGGTCCTTCCCGTGCTAGTCTCATGATAGTGAGTAAGTCTCATGAGATTTGATGGTTTTATAAAGGGGAGTTTCCCTGCGGAAGTTCTCCTCTTGTTTGCCACTCTGTGAGATGTGTCTTTCACCTTCTGCCATGATTGTTAGGCCTCCCCAGCCATGTGGAACTGTGGGTCCATTAAACCTCTTTCTTTTGCAAATTGCCCAGTCTTGGGTATGTCTTTCTCAGCAGTGTGAAAACGGACTAATATACTTGGTTCTTTGCACTTCAATATAAATTGTAAAATCAGCTTGTTAATTTCTTCAAAAAATCATGCGGGAATTTTTATTGGAATTACACTGAATCCAAAGATCAACTAGGGCAGAATAGGTGTCTAAATAGCATACACATACAATAAACTTGGCCTATCTTTCTATTATTTAGATCTTTCATTTCTATCACAAATAGAAAAATGTATATTCACATACAAAAGAATGAAGTTGAACCCTTCAGCAATAGTTTTCTAACAACATTGTTTGTAGAAATCTGTCACAGAGATCTGGCATATCTTTTGTTAGATTAATTACTAGGTATTTACTTTTTTAAATGCTATTGTAAATGGTATTCTATTTTTATGTTTCATTTTCCATTTATTTATTGTTCTTATATAGAGATGCAATTGATTCCATATATTGATTTGGCATCCTGAATCCTTGCTGAATTCTCTTTTTTTTTTTTTTTTTTTTTAATTGTACTTTAAGTTTTAGGGTACATGTGCACATTGTGCAGGTTATTTACATATGTATACATGTGCCATGCTGGTGCACTGCACCCACTAACGTGTCATCTAGCATTAGGTATATCTCCCAATGCTATCCCTCCCCCCTCCCCCGACCCCACCACAGTCCCCAGAGTGTGATATTCCCCTTCTTGTGTCCATGTGATCTCATTGTTCAATTCCCACCTATGAGTGAGAATATGCAGTGTTTGGTTTTTTGTTCTTGCGATAGTTTACTGAGAATGATGGTTTCCAATTTCATCCATGTCCCTACAAAGGACATGAACTCATCATTTTTTATGGCTGCATAGTATTCCATGGTGTATATGTGCCACATTTTCTTAATCCAGTCTATCATTGTTGGACATTTGGGTTGGTTCCAAGTCTTTGCTATTGTGAATAATGCCGCAATAAACATACGTGTGCATGTGTCTTTATAGCAGCATGATTTATAGTCATTTGGGTATATACCCAGTAATGGGATGGCTGGGTCAAATGGTATTTCTAGTTCTAGATCCCTGAGGAATCGCCACACTGACTTCCACAATGGTTGAACTAGTTTACAGTCCCACCAACAGTGTAAAAGTGTTCCTATTTCTCCACATCCTCTCCAGCACCTGTTGTTTCCTGACTTTTTAATGATTGCCATTCTAACTGGTGTGAGATGATATCTCATAGTGGTTTTGATTTGCATTTCTCTGATGGCCAGTGATGATGAGCATTTTTTCATGTGTTTTTTGGCTGCATAAATGTCTTCTTTTGAGAAGTGTCTGTTCATGTCCTTCGCCCACTTTTTGATGGGGTTGTTTGTTTTTTTCTTGTAAATGTGTTTGAGTTCATTGTAGATTCTGGATATTAGCCCTTTGTCAGATGAGTAGGTTGCGAAAATTTTCTCCCATGTTGTAGGTTGCCTGTTCACTCTGATGGTAGTTTCTTTTGCTGTGCAGAAGCTCTTTAGTTTAATTAGATCCCATTTGTCAATTTTGGCTTTTGTTGCCATTGCTTTTGGTGTTTTGGACATGAAGTCCTTGCCCACGCCTATGTCCTGAATG
This sequence comes from Homo sapiens, assembly GCF_000001405.40. Lineage (NCBI taxonomy): Eukaryota > Metazoa > Chordata > Mammalia > Primates > Hominidae > Homo > Homo sapiens. The sequence goes on from NC_000010.11 coordinate 15,916,827, forward strand.
GTAATGCCTAGGTTTTCTTCTAGGGTTTTTATGGTTTTAGGTCTAACATGTAAGTCTTTAATCCATCTTGAATTGATTTTTGTATAAGGTGTAAGGAAGGGATCCAGTTTCAGCTTTCTACATATGGCTAGCCAGTTTTCCCAGCACCATTTATTAAATAGGGAATCCTTTCCCCATTGCTTGTTTTTGTCAGGTTTGTCAAAGATCAGATAGTTGTAGATATGCGGCATTATTTCTGAGGGCTCCGTTATGTTCCATTGATCTATATCTCTGTTTTGGTACCAGTACCATGCTGTTTTGGTTACTGTAGCCTTGTAGTATAGTTTGAAGTCAGGTAGTGTGATGCCTCCAGCTTTGTTCTTTTGGCTTAGGATTGACTTGGCGATGCGGGCTCTTTTTTGGTTCCATATGAACTTTAAAGTAGTTTTTTCCAATTCTGTGAAGAAAGTCATTGGTAGCTTGATGGGGATGGCATTGAATCTGTAAATTACCTTGGGCAGTATGGCCATTTTCACGATATTGATTCTTCCTACCCATGAGCATGGAATGTTCTTCCATTTGTTTGTGTCCTCTTTTATTTCCTTGAGCAGTGGTTTGTAGTTCTCCTTGAAGAGGTCCTTCACATCCCTTGTAAGTTGGATTCCTAGGTATTTTATTCTCTTTGAAGCAATTGTGAATGGGAGTTCACTCATGATTTGGCTCTCTGTTTGTCTGTTGTTGGTGTATAAGAATGCTTGTGATTTTTGTACATTGATTTTGTATCCTGAGACTTTGCTGAAGTTGCTTATCAGCTTAAGGAGATTTTGGGCTGAGACGATGGGGTTTTCTAGATAAACAATCATGTCGTCTGCAAACAGGGACAATTTGACTTCCTCTTTTCCTAATTGAATACCCTTTATTTCCTTCTCCTGCCTGATTGCCCTGGCCAGAACTTCCAACACTATGTTGAATAGGAGCGGTGAGAGAGGGCATCCCTGTCTTGTGCCAGTTTTCAAAGGGAATGCTTCCAGTTTTTGCCCATTCAGTATGATATTGGCTGTGGGTTTGTCATAGATAGCTCTGATTATTTTGAGATACGTCCCATCAATACCTAATTTATTGAGAGTTTTTAGCATGAAGGGTTGTTGAATTTTGTCAAAGGCTTTTTCTGCATCTATTGAGATAATCATGTGGTTTTTGTCTTTGGCTCTGTTTATATGCTGGATTACATTTATTGATTTGCGTATATTGAACCAGCCTTGCATCCCAGGGATGAAGCCCACTTGATCATGGTGGATAAGCTTTTTGATGTGCTGCTGGATTCGGTTTGCCAGTATTTTATTGAGGATTTTTGCATCAATGTTCATCAAGGATATTGGTCTAAAATTCTCTTTTTTGGTTGTGTCTCTGCCCGGCTTTGGTATCAGAATGATGCTGGCCTCATAAAATGAGTTAGGGAGGATTCCCTCTTTTTCTATTGATTGGAATAGTTTCAGAAGGAATGGTACCAGTTCCTCCTTGTACCTCTGGTAGAATTCGGCTGTGAATCCATCTGGTCCTGGACTCTTTTTGGTTGGTAAACTATTGATTATTGCCACAATTTCAGAGCCTGTTATTGGTCTATTCAGAGATTCAACTTCTTCCTGGTTTAGTCTTGGGAGAGTGTATGTGTCGAGGAATGTATCCATTTCTTCTAGATTTTCTAGTTTATTTGCATAGAGGTGTTTGTAGTATTCTCTGATGGTAGTTTGTATTTCTGTGGGATCGGTGGTGATATCCCCTTTATCATTTTTTATTGTGTCTATTTGATTCTTCTCTCTTTTTTTCTTTATTAGTCTTGCTAGCGGTCTATCAATTTTGTTGATCCTTTCAAAAAACCAGCTCCTGGATTCATTGATTTTTTGAAGGGTTTTTTGTGTCTCTATTTCCTTCAGTTCTGCTCTGATTTTAGTTATTTGTTGCCTTCTGCTAGCTTTTGAATGTGTTTGCTCTTGCTTTTCTAGTTCTTTTAATTGTGATGTTAGGGTGTCAATTTTGGATCTTTCCTGCTTTCTCTTGTAGGCATTTAGTGCTATAAATTTCCCTCTACACACTGCTTTGAATGCGTCCCAGAGATTCTGGTATGTGGTGTCTTTGTTCTCGTTGGTTTCAAAGAACATCTTTATTTCTGCCTTCATTTCGTTATGTACCCAGTAGTCATTCAGGAGCAGGTTGTTCAGTTTCCATGTAGTTGAGCGGCTTTGAGTGAGATTCTTAATCCTGAGTTCTAGTTTGATTGCACTGTG